>NT_187511.1:0-11283 GCF_000001405.40 Homo sapiens
ACGATCTCACTGTGTCACCCAGGTTGGAGTGCGGTGCACAATCTGAGCTCACATTTCATTTCACCATTCCATTCCATTCCATTCCATTGCATTCCATTCCACTCCACTTCACTCCACTCCGTTCAATTCCATTCCTTCCCAGTCCATTCCACTCTACTCCATTCCACTCCACTGCACTCTACTTCATTCAATTCCATTCCACCCCATTCCTTTTGACTCCATTCCACTCCAGTCCACTTCACCACATTTGATTCGAATCCATTCAATGCCATTCGATTCCATTCCATTCTATTCCATTCCATTCATTTCGATTCCATTCCATTCGATTCGATTCCATTCCATTCCATTGAATTCTGTTCCATTCGATTCCATTCCATTCCATTCCCTTCCATTCCACTCCACTCCATTCCATCCCACTCCACTTCAATTCACTCCACTCCACTCCACTCCTCTCTGCTCCATTCCACTCCACTCCACTCCTCTCCATTCCACTCCACTCCACTTCATTCCACTCCATTCCATTCCACTGCACTCAACTCCCCTCCATTCCACTACACTCCACTGTATTCCATTCCATTCCATTCTACACCTTTCCACTCCACTCCTCTCCATTCCATTCCATCCCATTCCATTCCACTCCATTCCCTTCCACTCCACTCAACCCCACTACACTCCATGCAATTCCATTCTATTCCATTCCATAGCAATCCATACTACTAAATTCCACTCCACTCCACTCTACGCCACTCCTCTTCACTTCATTCCTTTCCATCCCATTCCATTCCACTCCATTCCACTCCACTCCACCCCACTTCACTCCGCTCCACTCCATTCCATTCCATTCCATAAGAATCCATACCACTCAATTCCACTTCACTCCACGCCACGCCACTCCATTCCACTCCACTCCATTACATTACATTCCATTGTAAATCCATTCCATTCCATTCCTTTCTTTCAACGGAATCTCACTCTGTCACCCAGGTTGGAGTGCAGTGCACAATCTCAGCTCACATTTCATTTCACCATTCCATTCCATTCCTCTCCATTCCATTCTGTTCCTTTCCATTCGGGTTCATTCCTTTCCATTCCATTAGAATCCATACCATTCCACTCCATTCCATTGCACTCAATTTGTTTCCATTCCATTCCATTCCATTCGAGTCCATTCCATTTCATTCGAGTCCATTCCATTAAATTCCATTCCATTCGAGGCCATTTCATTCCATTCCATTCCATTCCATTCCATCCCATTCCATTCCATTCCATTCCATTCTTTTCTGGTCCATTCAATTCAAATGCATTCCATTCCATTCCATTCCTTTCCATTCCATTCCATTGCATTCCAAAACTCGAGTCCATTCCATTCCATTCCATTACACTCAAGTCCTTTCCATTCCATTCGAGTCCATTCAATTCCATTCCATTCTTTTACATTCCATTCCATTCCAGTCCATTCTATTCCATTACATTCCATTCTTGTCCATTCAATTCTATTCCATTCGAGTCCATTCCTTTCCATTCAATTCCATTCATGTCCATTCTATTCCATTCCACTTGATTCCATTCCATTCCATTCAATTCCATTCCTTTCCATTCTATTCGAATCCATTCCATTCCATTCAATTCCATTCGATTCCATTCCATTCCATTCGAGTCCATTCCGTTCCATTTCATTCGAGTCCCTTCCATTCCATTCCATTCCATTCCATTCTATTCCATTAGAGTGTATTCCATTGCATTCCATTCCATTAGAGTGCATTCCATTCCATTCGACTCCATTCCATTCCATTCCATTCCAATACATTCCATTCCATTCTTTTTTATTCCATTTCAATCCATTCCATTCCATTCCATTCCATTCCATTCCATTCCATTCCATTCCATTCCATTCCATTCCATTCCTCTCCATTCCATTCCAGTCTCTTCCATTCCATTCGGGTCCATTCCATTCCATTCGAATCCATTCCATTCCATTCCATGCCATTTCACTCGAGTTGATTCCTTCCCATTGCATTCCATCATAGTCCAGTACATTTCATTCGAGTCCATTCCGTTCCATTCCATTCCATTCGAGGCCACTTCATTCCATTCCATTCCATTCCATTACATTCTTTTCGGGTCCATTCAATTCAAATGCATTCCATTCCATTCCATTCCATTCCATTCCATTCCATTCCATTCCATTCCATTCCTTTCCATTCCATTCGAGTCCATTTCATTCCATTCCTCTCCATTCCATTGCATTCCATTCTGTTCCATTCCATTCGGGTTCATTCCATTCCATTCCATTCAAATCCATTCTGTTCCATTCCATTCCATTGCACTCGAGTTGATTCCATTCCGTTCCATTCGAGTCCATTCCATTTCATTCGAGTCCATTCCATTCCATTCGAGGCCACTACACTCCATTCCATTCCATTCTGTTTGGATCCATTCTATTCAAATTCATTCCATTCCATTCCATTCCATTCCATTCCATTCCATAATTCCAGTCCATTCCATTCCATTCCGTTACACTCGTGTCCTTTCCATTCCATTCGAGTCCATTCATTTCCTTTCTATTCCTTTCTATTTCATTCAAATCCATTCCATTCGATTGCATTCCATTCGGTTCCATTTAATTATACTCCATTCCATTCGAGTCCATTCCATTCCATTCTGTTCCATTCGATTGCAATCCGTTCGTTTCCATTTTGTTCCAGTCCTTTCCATTCGAGTCCATTCCATTCCAGTCCATTCCACTTGAATTCATTCCATTCGAATCCATTCCATTCAATTTCATTCCACTCGATTCCAGTCCGTTCCATTTTCTTGCATTCCATTCAATTCCATTCCATTGCATTACATTGCATTCCTTTTGATTACATTCCATTCAATTCCATTCCTTTCAAATCTATTACATTGCAATCCATTACATTCGAGTCCTTTCTATTCCAGTCCATTTCATTCTGGTCCATTCCATTCGATTCCATTCCATTCGACTCCATTCAATACTATTGCATTCCGTTTGATTCAATTCTGTTTGAATAAATTCCATTCGAGACCATTCCTTTCGAGTCCATTATATTTGAGTCCATTCCATTCCATTCCATTCGATGCCATGTCATTCGATTCTCTTCCATTGAAATACAATCCATTAGAGTCCATTCCATACCATTCCATTCCTCTCCATTCCATTCCATTCCACTCCGTTCATTGCCAATCCATTTAATTCTATTCAATTCGAATCCATTCCATTCCATTGTGTTCCATCCGATTTCATTCCATTCTATTCCTTTCCATTCCTTCCATTCCATTCGTTTCCATTCAATTTGACTACATTCCACTCCAGTCCATACCATTCGAGTGTATTCCATTCCAGTCCATTCCATTCGAGTCCATTCCATTCCATTCCATTTGATATCTTTCCATTACGCTCCGTTCCATTCTATTCTTTTCAATTCCATTCAATTCCATTCCATTCGATTCCATTCCATTTGATTCCATTCCTTTTGACTCCTTTCCTTTCGAGTGCATTCCATTCCCTTCCATTAAATTCCTTTCCATTCCATTACACTCTGTTCCATTCCATTTTTTTCCAGTCTGTTCCACTCGATTCCACTCCATTCCATTCTATTCCATTCCATTGCATTCCATTGCATTCCATTTGATTACATTCCATTCGATTCCATTACATTCAAATCAATTACATTGCAATCCGTTACATTCAAGTCCTTTCTATTTCAGTCCATTCCATTCATGTCCATTCCATTTGATTCCATGCCATTCGATTTCATTACATACTATTGCATTCCATTTGATTAAATTCTATTTGAATAAATTCCATTCGAGACCATTCCTTTCGAATCCATTCTACTTGATTCCATTCCATACGAGTCCATTACATTTGGGTCCATTCCATTCCATTCCAGTCCAGTCCATTCTATTCTATTCCATTCGAGTCCATTCCTTTCGAGTCCATTCTATTCCATTCCATTCGAGTCCATTCCATTCTATTCTATTCCATTCAATTCCTTTCCATTTGAATCCATTACACTCGATTCCACTCCGTTCCATTCCCTTTCATTCCATTTTACTCCATTTCATTTCATTCCATTCCATTCCATTTGCTTACATTCCATTCAATTCCTTTCCATTCGAAACAATTATATTGCAATCCACTGCATTCGAGTCTGTTCTATTCCAGTCCATACCATTCTGGTCCATTCCATTTGATTCCCTTCAATCGATTCCATTCCATACTATTGCATTCCTTTCAATTCCATTCTATTCGAAAAAATTCCATTCAAGACCATTCCTTGTCAAGTCCATTCTATTTGAGTCCATTCCATTCGAGTCCATTAAATTTGGGTCCATTCCATTCCATTCCATTCCATTCGATGCCATTCCATTCCATTCCATTCTATACCATTTGAGTCCAGTCCATTTGAGTCCATTCCATTCCATTCCTTTCCAATCCTTGCCATTCAATTCATTCGATTCTATTCGAGTCCATTCATTTTGAGCCCATTCTATTCCATTCCATTCCATTCGATGCCATTCCATTCGATTCTATTCTATTCGACTCCACTCCATTCAATTCCATTCCATCCTATTCCATTCCTTCTATTGCCTTCCGTTCCATTCCATTGCATTCCATTCGTTTCATTTCCATTTGAGTCCCATCTACACCAGTCCATTCCATTCGAGTGCATTCCTTTCCAGTCCATTCCTTTCGAGTCCATTCCATTCCATTCCACTTCATTCCATTCTATATCTTTCCATTACACTCCATTCCATTCTATTCCTTTCAATTCAGTTCAATTCCATTGTATTCGATTCCATTCCATTTGATTCCATTCCATTCGACTCCATTCCATTCGAGTCCATTCCATTGCATTCAATTCCATTCCTTTCCATTCGATTCCAATCAGTTTGATTCCATTTTGTTCCAGTCCATTCCATTCGAATCCATTCTAGTCCATTCCAATCGATTCCATTCCATTCGATTCCATTCCACTCTCTTACACTCTGTTTCATTCCTTTGCATTCCATTATATTCCATTCCATTGCATTCCCTCCTATTCCATTCCATTGCATTCTATTCCATTCCGTTTGATTACATTCCTTTCGATTCCAAAGCATTCGAATCAACTACTTTTAAATACATTACATTCGATTCCGTTCAATTCCAGTCAATTCCATTCTGGTCCAGTGCATTCGAATCCGTTCCATACTATTGCATTCCTTTTGATTCCATTCTAGTCGAATGAATTCCATTTGAGACTATTACTTTCAAGTCCATTCTATTTGAGTCCATTCCATTGGGGTCCATTCCATTTGGGTCCATTCCATTCCACTCCATTCCTTTCCATTCCATTAGATACCTTTCCATTCGATTCTATTTCATTAGAGTCCATTCATTTCGAGTCCATTCCATTTCATTCCATTCCATTCCATTCCATTCCATTCCATGTCATTCCATTTGAATCCATTAAATTCAATTCCTTTCCATCCGATTCCATTCCATTCTATTCCTTTCCATTCTATTCCATTCCACACTATTCCATTCGATTCCATTCCCCTCGATTCTGCTCTACTCCTTTCCATTGCATTCCATTGTATTCCATTCCTTTGCATACAATTCCATTCAATTTGATTACATTTCACTCAATTCCATTCCATTCAAATCAATGGCATTGCAATCCATTATATTAGACCTTTCTATTCCAGTGCATTCCATTCTGGTCCATTCTATTCAATTCCGTTCCATTCTATTGCATTCCATTTGATTCCATTCTATACGAATAAATTCCATTCCAGATCATTCCTTTCGTGTCCATTCTATTTGAGTCTATTCCATTCGAGTCCATTACATTTGGGTACATTCCATTCCATTCTATTCCATTCCATTCCATTCGAAGCCATTCCATTCGATTCTATTCCATTCGTGTAAATTTGATTCGATTCCATTCCATTCCATTTGATGCCATTCCGTTTGATTCTATTCTATTCAACTCCATTCCATTCAATTCCACCCGATTCCATTACATTCTATTCCTTTGCATTCCATTCCATTGCAATCATTTCCATTCAATTCGAGTCCATTCCACTCCAGTCAATTCCATTCGACTCCATTCCATTCCAATCCATTCCATTCGAGTCCATTCCATTCTATTTGATATCTTTCCATTACAATCCATTCCATTCTATTCTTTTCGAATCCATTCAATTCCATTCCATTCGAGTCCATTCCATTCTATTCGATATCTTTCCATTACAATCCATTCCATTCTATTCTTTTCGAATCCATTCAATTCCATTCCATGCGATTCCGTTCCATTCCATTCCATTCCATTCCATTCGATATCTTTCCATTACAATCCATTCCATTCTATTTTTTCGAATCCATTCAATTCCATTCCATGCGATTCCATTCCATTCTATTCAATTCCATTCGACTCCATTCCATTTGAGACCATTCCATTCCATTCCATTCGATTGCAATCCTTTCGTTTCCATTTTGTTCCAGTACATTCCATTGGAGTCCATTCCATTCTAGTCCATTCCATTCGATTCCATTCCATTCCACTCGATTCCAGTCCATTCCATTCCATTGCATTCCATTTTATTCCATTCCATTGCCTTGCATTCCATTCCTTTTGATTACATTCAATTCGATTCCATCCCATTCAAATCATTTACTTTGCAATCCATTACATTCGAATTCATTCTATTCCAGTCCATTCCATTCCAGTCCATTCGATTCGATTTGATTTGATTCCAATCCATTCCATTCTATTGCATTCCATTCGATTCCAATGTATTCAAATAAATTCCATTCGAGACCATTCCTTTAGAGTCCATTCTATTTGAGTCCATTCCATTCGAGTCCATTACATTTGGTTCCATTTCATTCCATTCCATTCCATTCCATTCCACCACTCTTTCCATTAGATTCTATTCCATTCCACTCCATTCCATTCCATTCGATTGCAATCCATTCGTTTCCATTTTGTTCCAGTCCTCTCCATTCGAATCCATTCCATTCCAGTCCACTCCGTTTGATTTCATTCCATTGGAATCCATTCCATTCGATTCCATTCCACTTGATTCCAGTCCATTCCATTTTCTTGCATTCCATTCTATTCCATTCCATTGCATTCCATTCCATTCCATTTGATTACATTCCATTCGATTCCATTCCATTCAAATCTATTACATTGCAATCCATTACATTTCAGTCCTTTCTATTCCATTCCTTTCCATTCCGGTCCATTCCATTCGATTCCATTCCATTTGACTCTGTTCCATACTATTGCATTCCATTCAATTCCATTTTGTTTGAATAAATTCCAGTCGAGACCATTCCTTTCGAGTCCAATCTATTTGAGTCCATTCCATTCGTGTCCATTAAATATGAGTCCATTGCATTCCATTCCATTCCATTCCATTCCATTCCATTCGATGCCATGCCATTTGATTCTCTTCCATTGGAATACAATCCATTAGAGTTCATTCCATTCCATTTCATTCCATTCCATTCCATTTCATTCCAGTCCATTTCATTCCACTCCATTCATTGCCATTCCATTCAATTCTATTCAATTCGAATCCATTCCAATCCACTGTGTTCCATCCATTTCCATTCCATTCTATTCCTTTCCATTCCATTCCATTCCATTTGTTTGCATTCAATTTGACTGCATTCCACTCCAGTCCATAGCATTCAAGTCTATTCCATTCCAGTCCATTCCACTCGAGTCCATTTCTTTCCATTCCATTCGATATCTTTCCATTACGCTCCGTTCCATTCTATTCTTTTCGATACTATTCAATTCCATTCCATTCGATTCCATTCCATTCGATTCCATTCATTTCGACTCCATTCATTTCGACTCCATTTCATTCAAGTGCATTCCATTCTATTCTAGACATTCTGTTCCGTTCGATTCCAATCCGTTCCATTCCATTTTGTTCCAGTTTTCTTATTTGTGTCCATTCCATTCCCATCCATTCCACTCGATTCCACTCCATTCCATTCTATTACTTAGCATTCTATTCTATTCCATTGCATTCCATTCCATTCCATTCCATTTGATTACATTCCATTCGATTCCATTACATAGCATTCTATTATATTCCATTGCATTCCATTCCATTCCATTTGATTCCATTCCTTTCAATTCCATTACATTCAAATCAATTACATTGCAATCCATTACATTCAAGTCCGTTCTATTCCAGTCCATTCCATTCCTGTCCATTCCATTCGATTCCATTACATACTATTACATTCCATTTGATTAAATTCTATTTGAATAAATTCCACGCGTGAGCATTCCTTTCTAATCCATTCTATTTGAGTCCATTCCATACGAGTCCATTACATTTGGGTCCATTCGATTCCATTCCATTCCATTCCATTCCATTCCATTCCATTCCATTCCATTAGATTCTATTCCATTCGAGTCCATTCAATTACATTACACTCAAGTCCATTCCATTCTATTCTATTCCACTCGATTCCATTCCATTCAATTCCATTCCATTTGATTCCATTCCACTCGATTCCACTCCATTCCATTCCATTGCATTCCATTCTTCTCCATTCCATTTCATTCCATTCCATTCCAATTGCTTACATTCCATTCGATTCCTTTCCATTCGAATCAATTACATTGCAATCCATTACATTCGAGTACGTTCTATTCCAGTCCATACCATTCCGGTCCATTCCATTCGTTTCCATTCCATCGATTCCATTCCATACTATTGCTTTCCATTCAATTCCATTCTATTCGAATAAATTCCATTCGAGACCATACCTTTCGAGTCCATTCTATTTGAATCCATTCCATTCGAATCCATTAAATTTGGGTCCATTGCATTCCATTCAATTTCATTCCATTCCATTCCATTTCATTCCATTCCATTCCATTGGATGCCATTCCTTTCCATTCTATACCATTCGAGTCCAGTCCTTTTGAGTCCATTCCATTCCATTCCATTCCATTCAATGCCATTCTATTCTATTCTATTATATTCGAATCCACTCATTTCGAGCCCATTCCATTCCATTTGATGCCATTCCATTCAATTCTATTCTATTTGACTCCACTCCATTCAATTCCATTCCATCCGATTCAATTCCATTCTATTCCCTTCTGTTCCATTCCATTGCATTCAATTTGTTTCAATTCCATTTGATTGCATTACACACCAGTCCATTCCATTCGAGTGCATTCCTTTCCTGTCCATTCCATTCGAGTCCATTCCATTCCTTTCCACTCCATTCCATTCGTTATCTTTCCGTTACACTCCATTCCATTCTGTTCCTTTCGATTCAGTTCAATTCCATTCTATTCAATTCCATTCCATTCGATTCCATTCCATTTGACTCCATTCCACTCGTGTCCATTCCATTGCATTCCATTCCATTCCTTTCCATTCGATTCCAATTATTTCGATTCCATTTTGTTCCAGTCCATTCCATTCGAATCCATTCCATTCCAGTCCTTTCCAATCGATTCCATTCAATTCGATTCCATTCCATTCAATTCCATTCCACTCGATTACACTCTTTTCCATTCCATTGCATTCCATTCTATTCCATTCCTTTTCATTCCTTACCATTCCATTTGATTACATTGCATTCTATTCCATTCCTTTCAAATCAATTACATTGCAGTCCATTACATTCGAGTCAGTTCTATTCCAATCCGTTCCATTCCAGTCCACCCCATTTGATTCCATTCCATACTATTGCATTCCATTCGATTCGTCTATTCGAATAAATTCTATTCGATACTATTCCTTTTGATTCCATTCTGTTTGACTCCATTCCATTTGAGTCCATTACATTTGGGACCCTCCATTCCATTCCATCCCATTCCATTCGATGCCATTCCATTCCATTCTTTTCCATTCAAGTCCATTCCATTCAAGTCTATTCAATTCCATTCCCTTACATTGCATTATATTTGATCCCATTCCATTCGACTCTAGTACTTTCAACTCCATTCCATTCCATTCCGTTCCATCCAATTCCATTCCATTCTATTCCTTTCCATCCGATTCCATTCCATTCCATTCCATTCCATTCCCTTCCATTCGTTTCCATTCCATTCGAGTCCATTCCACTCCAGTCCATTCCATTTTATTCCATTCCATTCCAGTCCATTTCATTCCATTCTATTCCATTGGATATATTTCCATTACCCTCCATTCTTTCTATTCCTTTCGATTACATTCAATTCCATTCTATTCAATTCCACTCCTTTCGATTCCATTCCATTCTACACCATTTCATTCGGGTCCATTCCAATCCATTCCATTCCTTTCGGTTTGATTCAATTCCACTCGATTCCACTCCATTCCATTTTATTGCATACCATTCTATTTCATTCCATTCCATGCCATTCCATTCTATTCTATTCCATTCGAGTCCATTCCATTCGAGTCCATTGCATTCCATTCCTTTGATTGCATTCCATTCAATTCTATTCCATTTGACTCCATTCCATTCCATTCCGTTCCATATGATTCCATTCCATTATATTACTTTCCCTTCCAATACATTCCCTTCCATTCCTTTCCATTCCATTCGAGACCATTCCACTCCAGTCCATTCCATTCGAGTCCATTCCATTCCAGTCCATTCCATTCGCGTCCATTCCATTCCATTCTATTAGATTCGATATATTTCCATTTCCCTCCATTCTATCTATTCTTTTCAATTGCATTCAATTCCATTCTATTTAATTACATTCCATTGGATTCCATTCCATTTGACTCCATTCCATTCGGGTCCATTCCATTCCATTCCTTTCCATTCCATTACATTCCATTTGGTTCGATTCCATTCCACTCGATTCCACTCTGTTCCATTTTATTGCATTCCATTCTATTCCATTCAATTCCATGCCATTCCATTCAATTCTATTCCATGCGAGTCCATTCCATTCGAGTCCATTGCATTTCATTCCATTCGATTGCATTGCATTCGTTTCTATTCCTTTTGACTCCATTTCACTCCATTCCATTCCTTCCGATTCCATTCCACTCGATTCCACTCCGTTCCATTTTATTGCATTCCATTCTATTCCATTCAATTCCATGCCATTCCATTCAATTCTATTCCATGCGAGTCCATTCCATTCGAGTCCATTGCATTTCATTCCATTCGATTGCATTGCATTTGTTTCTATTCCTTTTGACTCCATTTCACTCCATTCCATTCCTTCCGATTCCATTCCATTCTTTTCCTTTCCATTCCAATCCATTGCGTTCAAGTCGTTT
>NT_187511.1:11349-79590 GCF_000001405.40 Homo sapiens
TTCCATTCGAGTCCATTCCATTCCAGTCCATTCCATTTGAGTCAATTCCATTCCATTCCATTCCATTCGATATCTTGTAATTCACTCCCTACTTTTCCATTCCATTCGTTGCCATTCCATGCTATTCTATTCCATCCGAGTTCATTCCTTTCAAATCCATTCAATTCCACTCCATTCGATGCCATTCCATTCAACTCCTCTTCATTAGACTCCATTCCATTCTATTTAGTGCCATACGATTCCATTCCATTCTATTCCATTCCATTGCATTCCATTCCATTCCATTCCATTCCATTCCATTCCATTCCATTCATTTCCATTCCATTCGAGTCCATTCCACTCCAGTCCATTCCATTCGAGTCCATTGCATTCCATTCCATTCAAGTCCATTCCATTCCATTCCATTGCACTCGTTATCTTTCCTTTACACTCCATTAACTTCTTTTCCTTTTGATTCCATTCATTTCCATTCCATTTGATTCCATTCCATTTGATTCCCTTCCATTCCACTCCATTCCTTTCGAGGCCATTCCTTCCATTCCATTCCGTATCGTTAGATTCCAATCTGTTCGATTCCATTTTGTTCCAGTCCATTCCATTCGTGTCCATTCCATTCCAGCTCATTCCAATCGATTGCAATCCATTCGATTCCATTCCATTGGATTCCATTCCACTCGATTTCACTCCATTCCATTCCATTGCATTGCATTCCATTCCAGTTGATTACATTACATTTGATTCCATTCCATTCGAATCAATTACGTTGCAATCCATGGCATTCAAGGCCATTCTTTTCCACTCCATTCTGGTCCATTCCATTCGATTCCATTCCATACTATTGCATTCCATTTGATTCCGTTCTATTCGAATAAGTTCCATTCGAGACCATTCCTTTCGAGTCCATTGTATTTGAGTCCATTCTGTTTGAGTCTATGACATGTGGGTCCATTCCATTCCATTCCATTCCATTCGATGCCATACCATTCGATTCTATTCCATTCGAGGCCATTGCATTCGAGTCCATTTAATTTAATTCCATTCCATTCCATTCCATTCCATTCCATTCCATTCCATTCCATTCGATGCCGTTCTAATTGATTCTATTCCATTCGACTCAATTCCATTCCACTCCACCCGATTCCATTCCATTCTATTCTTTTCTGTTCCATTCCATTCCATTCGTTTACATTCCATTCAAGTCCATTCCACTCTAGTCTATTCCATTCGAGTCCATTTCTTTCCAGTCCATTCCATCCAAGTCCATTCCTTTCCATTCCATTCAATATGTTTCCATTGAACTCCATTCCATTCTATTCATTTTGATTCAATTCAATTCCATTCCATTCGATGCCATTCCAATTAATTCTATTCCATTTGACTCCATTCCATTCCATTCCATCCGATTCTATTCCATTCTATTCTTTTCCATTCCATTCGAGTCCATTCCACTCCAGTCCAGTCCATTCGAGTCCATTCCATTCCAGTCCATTCCATCCGATTCCATTCCTTTCCATTCCCTTCGATATCTTTCCATTAAATTCCATTCCATTCTATTCATTTCGATTCCATTCAATTCCATTCCATTTTTTTCCATTCCTTTCGATTCCATTCCATTTTACTCCACTCCATTCAAGTCCATTCCATTCCATTCCATTCCATTCCGTTCCATTATATTCCAATCCGTTCGATTCCATTTTGTTCCAGTCCATTCCAATCGTGTCCATTCCATTCCAGTCCATTCCATTCGATGCTATTCCATTTGATTCCATTCCACACGATTCCACTCTGTTCCATTCCATTGCATTCCATTCTATTCCATTAAATAGCACTCCATTCCATTCCATTCGGTTACATTCCATTCGATTCCATTCCATTCGAATCAATTACTTTGCAATCCATTACATTTGAGTCCATTCTATTCCACTCCATTCCATTCCGGTCCATTCCATTCGATTCCATTCCATTCAATTCCATTCCATACTATTGCATTCCATTCGATTCCATTCTATTTGAAAAATTCCATGCGAGACCATTCCTTTCGAGTCCATTCTATTTGAGTCCATTCCTTTCGAGTCCATTACATTGGGATCCATTCCATTCCATTCCATTCCATTCGATACCATTCCATTTGTTTCTATTCCATTTGAGTCCACTCCATTCGAGTCCTTTCTATTCCATTCCATTCCATTTGATGTCATTCAATTCAATTCTATTCCATTCGACTTCATTCCATTCCATTCTGTTCCATCCGATTCAATTCCATTCTATTCCTTTCCATTCCATTCCGTTCTATTCAGTTCGTTTCTTTCCATTCGAGTTCATTCCACTCCAGTCCATTCCATTCGAGTCCATTCCATTCCAGGCCATTCCATGCGAGTCCATTCCATTCCATTCAATATCTTTCCATTGCACTCCCTTCCATTCCACTCCATTCGATGCCATTCCATTCTATTCAATTCCATTCGAGTCCATTCCATTCGAGTCCATTCCATTCCATTCCATTCAATGCCATTCCATTCGATTCTATTCTATTCAAATCCATTCAATTCCATTCCGCTCCATCCAATTCCTTACATTCTATTCCTTTAAATTCCATTCCATTCAATTCCATTCCATTCGTTTCCATTCCATTCGAGACCACTCCACTGCAGTCTATTCCATTCGATTCCATTCCATTCCAGTCCATTCCATTTGAGTCCATTCCACTCCAGTCAATTCCATTCGAGTCCATTCCATTCCAGTCCATTCCATTTGAGCTCATTCCTTTCCATTCAATTCCATTCCATTCGATATCACTCCATTACACTCCCTTCCTTTCCATTCCATTCGATGCCATTCCATTGTATTCTAATCCATTTGAATTCATTCCATTCATGTCTATTCCATTCCATTGCATTCCATTCCATTCCATTCCATTCTCTCTTTTGCCATTCCATTCGATTCTATTCCATTGGACTCCATTTCATTCCATTCCATTCCATTTAATTCCATTCCATTCTATCCCTTTCCATTCTATTCCATTCCATTCCATTCGTTTCCATTCCTTTTGATTCCATTCCACTCCATTTCATTCTATTAGATTCCACTTCGTTCCAGTCTATTCCATTCGAGACTATTTCGTTCCAGTCTATTCCATTCGAGTCGATTCCACTCCTTTCCATTCCATTCGATATCTTTCCATTACACTCCATTCTATTCTATTCCTTTCATTTCCTTTCAATTCCGTTCCATTTGGTTACATTCCATTTGACTCCATTCCATTGACGTCCATTCTTTTCCTCTCCGTTGCATTCCATTCTGTTCGATTCCAATCCATTTGATTCCATTTTGTTCCACTCCATTCCAATCGAATCCGTTGAATTCCAGTCCATTCCATTTGATTACATTCCATTCGACTCCATTCCTTTCGATTCCATTCTATTAGTATAAATTCCATTCAAGACCATTTCTTTCAAGTCCATTCTATTTGAGTCCATTCCATTCGTGTCCGATACATTTGTGTCCATTCCATTCCATTCCATTCTATTCCAATCCATTCCATTCCATTCAAGGCGATTGCATTCGACTCTATTCCATTCGTGTCAAATCCATTCGAGTTCTTTATATACAATTCCATTCGATGCCATTCCATTCGATTCTATTCCATTCGACTTCATTCCCTTGCATTCCATTCCATCCGATTCCATTCCATTCTATTCCTTTATATTCCATTCCATTGTATTCCATTCCATTTTTTTCCATTCCATTCGACTCCATTCCACTCCTGTCCATTCCATTCGAGTCCATTCCATTCCAGTCCATTCCACTTCAGTCCATTCCATTCAAGTCCCTTTCATTCCAGTCCATTCCATTCAAGTCAATTCCACTCCAGTCCAGTCCATTCGAGTCCATTCCATTCCATTCCATTCCATTCCATTCCATTCCATTCCATTCCATACCATTCGACGCCATAGCATTTGATTCTATTCCATTCAACTCAATTCCCTTCCATTCCATTCCATCCGATTCCTTTGCATTCTATTCCTTTCCGATTCATTCCATTCCATTCCTTTCCATTCGAGGCCATTCTATTTGATTCTATTTGATTCTATTCCATTCGACTCCATTCCATTCCATTCCGTCCAATTGCATTTCATTCTATTCCTTTCCCTTGCTTTCCATTCCATTCCATTCCATTCCATTCCATTCCATTCCATTCCATTCCAATCGTTTCCATTCCATTCGAGTGCATTCCACTCCAGTCCATTTCTTTTGAGTCCATTCCACTCCAGTCCATTCCTTTCGAGTCCATTCCATTCCATGCCGTTCCATTCGAGTCCATTCCATTCCATTTGAGTCCATTCCATTCCAATCCATTGCATTCCATTCTGTTCCATCCGATTCCATTCCATTTTATTCCTTTTCATTCCATTCCATTCTATTCCATTCTAATCGATTTGTTAACATTCCATTCGAGTCCATTCCACTCCAGTCCAATCCATTCGAGTCATTCCATTCCAGTATATTCCATTCGAGTCCATTCCTTTCCAATCCATTCCATTCCATTCTATATCTTTCCATTACACTCCATTCATTCTCTTCCTTTAGATTTCATTCAATTCCATTACATTGAATTCCATTCCATTCGGTTCCATTCCGTTCGACTCCCTGCCATTCCAATCCATTTCATTTCATTCCATTCCGTTCCAATTGATACCAATCCGTTCGAGTTCATTTTGTTCCAGTCCATTAAATATGAGTCCATTCAATTCCAGTCCATTCCCTTCGATTCCTTTCAATTCGATTCCATTCCATTCGATTCCATTCCACTTGATTCCAATCCGTTCAATTCCATTGCATTCCATTCTCTTCCATTCCATTGCATTCCATTCTATTCAATTTGATGACATTCCACTTGATTACATTCCATTCGAATCAATTACACTGCTATCCATTACTTTCGAGTCTGTTCTATTCTAGTCCATTACATTCCGTTCCATTCCATTTGATTCCATTCCATACTATTGCAACCTGTTCGATTCCATTCTATTTGAATGAATTCCTTTCGAGACAATTACTTTCGAGTCCATTCTATTTGAGTCGATTCCATTCGAGTCCATTATGTTCGGGTCCATTCCATTCCATTCCATTCCATTCCATTCCATTCCATTCAATGCCATTCCATTCCATTCTATTCCTTTTGAGTCCATTCCGTTTGAGTCCATTCCATTTGATGCCATTCCATTTGATTCTATTCCATTCAACTCCATTCTATTCCTTTCTGTTCCATCCGATTCCATTCCATTCTATTGCTTTCCATTCCATTCCAATCCATTCGTTCCAATTCCATTCGTGTCCTTTACACTCCACTCCATTCCATTCGATTCCATTCCATTCCACTTCATTCCATTCAAGTCCATTGCATTCCATTCCACTCGATAAATTTCAATTACATTCCGTTCCATTCTATTCCTCTCCATTCCATTCAATTCCATTCTATTCGATTCCATTTCATTCAATTCCGTTTCATTCGACAGCATTCCAATCGAGTCTATTCCATTCGATTCCCTTCCATTCCGTTCTGTTCAATTCCAATCTGTTCGATTCCATTTTGTTCCAGTCCATTCCATTCGACTCTATTCTATTTGAGTCCATTCCATTCCATTCCTTTCCGTTCCGTTTGATTCCAATCCGTTACATTCCATTTTGTTCCAGTCCATTCCATTCAACTCCATTCCATTCTGGTCCATTCGATTCGATTCCATTTCATTCAATTCCATTCCATACTATTACATTCCATTTGATTCCATTCTATTCAGATAAATTCCATTCGAGACCATTCATTTCGAGTCCATGCTTTTTGTTTACATTCAGTTCGAGTCCATTACATTTCAGTCAATTCCATTCCATTCCATTCCATTCCATTCCTTTTGATGTCATTCCATTCTGTTCTATTCCACTCGAGTCCATTCTACTCCATTCGAAGCGATTTCGTTCGATTCTGTTCCATTCGATTCCATTCCACTTCATTTCATTCCATCCGATTCCATTCCATTCTATTCCTTTCCATTCCATTCCATTCCCTTCTTTTCCATTCCATTTCACTCGATTCCATTGCATTCGAATCAATTACATTGCAATCCATTACATTTGAGTCTGTACTATTGCAGTCCATTCAATTCCGGACCATTCCATTCGATTCCATTCCATTCGTTTCCATTCCATTCGTTTCCATTCCATTCGATTCCATTGTATTTGAATAAATACCATTCGAGACCTTTCTTTTCGAGTCCATTCTATTTGAGTGCATTCCATTCATGTCCATTACATTTGGGTCCATTCCATTCCATTCCATTCCATTCGTTGCCATTCCATTCGATTCTACGCCATTTGATACCATTCCCTTCGAGTACATTCCATTCCATTCCATTTGATGCCATTCCATTCAATTCTATTCCAATTGACTCCATTCCATTCCATCCGATTCCATTCCAATCTATTCCTTTTAATTCCTTTCCATTCCATTCCACTCCATTCCATTCCATTCCATTCCATTCCATTCTATTCGTTTCCATTCCATTCGATTCCATTCCACTCCAGTCCATACAATTCGAGTCCATTCCATTCCAATCCTTTCCATTCGAGTGCATTCCATTCCATTCATTCTATTCTGTGCCATTTGAATCCAATCCGTTTGATTCCATTTTGTTCAAGTCCATTCCAATCGATTACATTCCATTCAATTCTATTCCAGTAGACTCCATTCTATTCCATCCGATTCCATTCCAATCTATTCCTTTAATTCCTTTCCATTCCATTCCATTCCATTCTATTCGTTTCCATTCCTTTCGATTCCATCCCACTCCAGTTCATACAATTTGAGTCCATTGAATTCCAATCTTTTCCATTAGAGTGCATTCCATTCCATTCATTCTATTCTGTGCCGTTTGTATCCAATCCTTTTGATTCCATTTTGTTCAAGTCCATTCCATTCGATTCCATTCCACTCGATTCCACTCAGTTCCAATCCATTGCATTGCATTCTGTTCCATTCCATTGCATTCCATTCCATTTCATTTGATTACATTCCATTTAATTCCATTGCATTCGAATCAATTACATTGCACTCCGTTACATTCGACTTCGTTGTATTCCATTCCATTCCATTCCGATCCATTCCATTCGAATCCATTGCATTCGATTCCATTCCATACTATTGCATTCCATTCGATTCCATTCTATTGGAATAAATTCCATTCAATACCATTCCATTCGAGTCCATTCTATTTGAGTCCATTTCTTTTGTGTCCATTACTTTTGCTTCCATTCCATTCCATTGAATTTGACGCAATTCCCTTCAATTCTCTTCCATTCGAGTCCATTACATTCGAGTCCACTCCATTCCATTCAATTCCAATCCTTACGATTCCACTCCATTCCATTCGATGTCATTCCAATGGATTCTATTCCATTCTACTCCATTCCATTCCATTCCGCTCCATCCGTTTCCATTCCAATCTACTCCTTTCCATTAGATTTCATTCCATTCCATGCGTTTCCATTCCATTAGTGTCCATTCCAATCCAGTCCATTCCATGTGATTCCATTCCATTCGATTCCATTCCAATCGATTCAATTCCATTCGATTCCACTCCGTTCCTTTCCATTGCATTCCATTCTATTCCATTCCAGTGCATTCCATTCCATTCCATTTGATTATGTTCCATTCAGTTCCATTCCGTTTGAATCAATTACATTGCTCTCCATTACATGCGAGTCTTTTCTATTCCAGTGTTTTCCATTTAATTCCATTCCATTCGATTCCAATTCGTTCGACGCCATTTTGTTCCATTCGATTCCAGTCCATTCCATACGACTACATTCCATTCGATTTCATTCCATTCAATTCCATTCCATGCGATTCCAATCCCTTCCATTCCATTGCATTCCATTCTACTCCATTCCTTTGCATTCCATTCCATTCCATTTCGTTACATTCCATTCAATTTCAATCCATTTGAATCAAATATTTGCAATCCATTACATTCGAGTCCATTCTATACCTCTCCATTCCATTCTGGTCCATTCCATTCGATTCCATTCCATTCGACCCCATGCCATTCGTGTCCATTCCTTTCCATTCCATTCCATTCCATTCCATTCCGTTCAATTCCAATCCGTTACATTCTATTTTGTTCCAGTCAATCCCACTAGAGTCCATTCCATTCCAGTCCATTCCATTCAATTCCATTCCTTTCGATTCCATTCCATTCAATTAGATTACATTCCATTTAATTCCATTCCACTTGATTCCATTCCGTTCCATTCCATTGCATGCCATTCTATTACATTCCGTTGCATTCCATTCCATTAAATTTGATTATATTCCAGTAAATTCCATGGCATTCGAATCAACTACAATTCAATCCATTACATTCGAGTCTGTTCTATTCCAGTCCATTCCATTCCGGTACATTCCATTTGATTCAAATCCATTCGATTCCATTAGATGCTATTGCATTCCTTTCGATTCCATTCTATTCGAATAAACTCCATTCGAGACCATTCCTTTCGAGTCCATTTTATTTGAGTCCACTCCATTCGTGTCCATTACTTTTGGATCTGTTCCATTGCATTCCATTCCATTCCTTTCCATTCCATTCGATGCCATTACATTCGATTCTATTCCATTATGGTCCATTCCATTCGATTCCATTCCACTCGATTCCACTCCATTCCATTCCATTGCATTCCATTCTATTCCATTCCATTGCATACCATTCCATTCCATATGATTACATTCCATTTGATTCAATTCAACTCAAATCAATTGGATTGCAATCCATTACATTCTAGTCTGTTCTATTCCAGTCCATTCCACTCTGGTCCATTCCATTCGATTCCATTCCATACTATTGAATTCCATTCGATTCCACCGTTTTCGAATAAATTCCATTCGAGACCCTTCCTTTTTAATCCATTCTATTTGAGTCTGTTACATTCGAGTCCATTACATTTGGGTCCATCCAATTCCATTCCATTCCATTCGATGCCATTCCATTCGATTCTATTCCATTCGAGTCCATTCCATTCGATTCCATTCTGTTCCATTCCATTCCATTCGATGTCATTCCATTCAAGTCCATTCCACTCCAGTCCATTTCATTCGAGTCCGTTCCATTCGAGTCCGTTCCATTTGATTCCATTCCATTCCATTCCATTCCATTCCATTCCATTCCATTCCATTCCATTCGATATCTTTCCATTACACTCCATTCCATTCTATCCCTTTTGATTCCATTCAATTTCATTCCATTCGTTTAAATTCCATTCGATTCCATTCTATTCAAGTCCATTCCATTCCATTCCATTCAATTCCGTTCGATTGCGTTTTGATCCAGTCCAATCCATTCGAGTCCATTCCATTTGATTCCATTCCATTCCATTTGATGCCATTCCATTCGATTGTGTTCAATTCAAGTCCATTCCATCACAGTCTATTCCATTCCATTCCATTCCATTCCATCCGATGCCATTCCATTTGATTTTAATCCACTCGACTCCTTTCCATTCCATTCCATTCCATCCGATTCCATTCCATCCTATTCCTTTCCATTCCACTCCATTCCATTTGAATCATTTCCATAGCTTTCGAGTCCATTCCTCTCCAGTCCATTCCATTCGAGTCCATTCCATTACAATCCACTCCATTCGAGTCCATTCCATTCCATTACTTTTCATTCGATATCTTTCCTTTACACTCCATTCCCTTCTATTCCTTTTGATTCTACTCAATTCCATTCAATTTGATTCCATTCCATTCAATTCCATTCCATTCTACTCTATTCCATTCGAGTCCATTCCATTCCATTCCATTCCATTTGATATCTTGCAATTACACTCTATTCCATTCTATTCCGTTCGATTCCTTAGAGTTCCACTCCATTCGAGTCCATTCCATTCCAATCCACTCCATTCGAGTCCATTCCATTCCATTCCTTTCCATTAGATATCTTTCCATTACACTCCATTCCTTTCTATTCCTTTCAATTATATTCAATTCCATTCCATTCGATTCCATTCAATTCGATTCCATTTCAGTAGACTCCATTCCATTGAAGTCCATTCCATTAAATTCCATTCCATTCGATGTCTTTCCATTACACTCCATTACATTCTATTCCTTTTGACTCTTTTCAATTCAATTCCATTCGAGTCCATTCCATTCCATTCCATTCTAATCCATTCCATTCGATTCCAAACCATTCGATTCCACTTTGTTCCAGACCATTCCATTTGAGTCCATTCCACTCCAGTCCATTCCATTCGATTCCATTCCACTCGATTCCACTACGTTCCATTCCATTGCATTCTATTCTATTCCATTCCATTGTATTCCCTTCCATTCCATTTTATTACATTCCATTCGATTCCATTCCATTAGAATCAATTACATTATAATCCGTTACATTCGAGTCCATTCTATTCCAGTCCATACCATTCTGCTCCATTCCTTTTGATTAGATTACATTCGATTCCATTAAATACTATTGCATTCCATTAGATTCCATTCTATTCGAATAAATTCCATTCAAGACCATTCCTTTCGAGTGCATTCTATTTGAGTCCATTCCATTCAAGTCCATTACATTTGGGTCCATTCCATTCCATTCCTGTCTATTCCATTGCAGTCCATGCCAGTCCATTCGATTCTATTCCATCCGTGTCCATTCCATTCGAGTCCATTTCATTC
This sequence comes from Homo sapiens, assembly GCF_000001405.40. NCBI lineage: Eukaryota > Metazoa > Chordata > Mammalia > Primates > Hominidae > Homo > Homo sapiens. The sequence goes on from NT_187511.1 coordinate 22,082, forward strand.
CATTCCACTCCATTCCATTCGATGCCATTCCATTTGATTCTATTCCATTCGACTCCATTCCACTCCATTCCGTTCCATGTGATTCTATTTTATTCTATTCCATTCCATTTGATGCTATTCAATTCGATTATATTCCATTCGAGTCCATTCCATTCGAGTCCAATTCATTCCATTCCATTCAATTCCATTCCATTTGATGCCTTTCCATTTGATTCTATTCCATTCGACTACATTCCATTCCATTCCTTTCCATCCAATTGGATTCTATTCTGTTCCTTTCCGTTCCATTCCATTCCATTCCATTCCATTCCATCCGTTTCCATTCCATTCAAGTCCATTCCACTCTAGTCTATTCCATTCCAGTCCATTCCAGTCCAGTCCATTCCTTTCTAGTCCATTACATTCGATATCTTTCCATTACACTCCATTCCATTATATTCCTTTCGATTCCATTCAATTCCATTCCGTTCAATTCCATACCATTCGATTCCATTCCATTTGACTCCATTCCATTCGAGTCCATTCCATTCCATTCCATTCCATTCCATTCCATTCCATTCCACTCCAATCTGTTCGATTCCACTTTATTTCAGTCCATTCCATTCGATTCCATTCCAATCCAGTCCATTGCATTTGATTCCATTCCATTCGATTCCTTTCCATTTGAATCCATTCCCCTCGATTCCCCTCTGTTCCATTCCATTGCATTCCATTCTATTCCATTCCATTGCATTCCATTACATTCCATTTTATTACATTCCATTTGATTCCATTACATTCAAATCAATTACATTGCAATCCATTACATTGCAGTCCATTCTATTGCAGTCCATTCCATTCTGGTCCATTCCATTTGATTCCATTCCATTCGATTCTATTCCATACTATTGCATTCCATTTGATTCCATTCAATTCCAATAAATTCCATTCAAGACCATTCTTTTCAAGACCATTCTATTTGAGTCCAATCCATTAGAGTCCATTATATTTCTTTCCATTCCATTCCGTTAAATTCCATTCTATTCGATACCACTCCATTGATCCTGTTCCATTCGAATCCATTCCACTCGATTCCTTTCCAATCCATTCTATTGCATTCCACTCGATACCATTCCATTAGATTCTATTCCATTTGAGTCCATTCCATTCCATTCCATTCCATTCCATCTGATTCCATTCAATTCCATTCCTTTACATTCCATTCCATTCCATTCCTTTCATTCCATTCCATTTGAGTCCATTCCTCTCCAGTCCATTCCATTCATTTCCATTCCATTCCAGTCCATTACTTTCGAGTCCATTCCCTTCCATTCCTTTCCATTAGATATTTTCCATTACACTCCATTCCATTCTATTGCATTCGATTCTATTCAATTCCATTCCATTCAATTTCACTCCTTTCGACTCCATTCCATCTGAATCCATTCCATTCCATTCGATATCTTCCATTACAATCCATTCTATTCCATTCCATTCCATTCCATTCCATTCCTTTTGAATCCAGTCCATTTGGTTCCATTCGAATCGACTCCCTTCCATTCGAGTCCATTCCATTCCATTGATTCAGTGCCATTGAATTCCAATCTGTTCGATTCCATTTTGTTCCAGTCCATTCCATTCGATTCAATTCCAATCGATTCCATTCCACTCGATTCCACTCCAATAAATTCCTTTGAATTCCATTCCATTCCATTTGATTACTTTCCATTCTATTCCATTCCTTTCGAATCAATTACATTGCAATCCAAATACATTCGAGTCCATTGTATTCCAGACCATTCCTTTCTGGTCCATTCCATCTGAATGCATTCCATTCGATTCCATTACATACTATTGCATTCCATTTGATTCCATTCAATTCCAATAAATTCCATTCGAGACCATTCTTTTCAATACCATTCTATTTGAGTCCAATCCATTAGAGTCCATTATATTTCCTTCCATTCCATTCCGTTAAATTCCATTCTATTCGATACCACTCCATTGATCCTGTTCCATTCGAATCCATTCCACTCGATTCCTTTCCAATCCATTCTATTGCATTCCACTCGATACCATTCCATTAGATTCTATTCCATTTGAGTCCATTCCATTCCATTCCATTCCATTCCATCTGATTCCATTCAATTCCATTCCTTTACATTCCATTCCATTCCATTCCTTTCATTCCATTCCATTTGAGTCCATTCCTCTCCAGTCCATTCCATTCGTTTCCATTCCATTCCAGTCCATTACTTTTGAGTCCATTCCCTTCCATTCCTTTCCATTAGATATTTTCCATTACACTCCATTCCATTCTATTGCATTCGATTCTATTCAATTCCATTCCATTCAATTTCACTCCTTTCGACTCCATTCCATCTGAATCCATTCCATTCCATTCGATATCTTCCATTACAATCCATTCTATTCCATTCCATTCCTTTTGATTCCAGTCCATTTGGTTCCATTCGAATCGACTCCCTTCCATTCGAGTCCATTCCATTCCATCGATTCAGTGCCATTGAATTCCAATCTGTTCGATTCCATTTTGTTCCAGTCCATTCCATTCGATTCAATTCCAATCGATTCCATTCCACTCGATTCCACTCCAATAAATTCCTTTGCATTCCATTCCATTCCATTTGATTACTTTCCATTCTATTCCATTCCTTTCGAATTAATTACATTGCAATCCAAATACTTTCGAGTCCATTGTATTCCAGACCATTCCTTTCTGGTCCATTCCATCTGAATGCATTCCATTCGATTCCATTACATACTATTGCATTCCATTTGATTCCATTCAATTCCAATAAATTCCATTCGAGACCATTCCTTTTGAGTCCATTCTATTTGAGTCCATTCCATTCGAGTCCATTACATTTGGGTCCATTCTATTCGACTCCATTCCATTCCATTACATTCCGTTAGATGCCTATCCATTCCATTCTATTCCATTCGAGTCTATTCCATTCCACTCCTTTCCAACCAATTCCATTCCATTCTATTCCATTCTATTCCATTCCATTCCAACCCATTCCATTTCATTCCTTTCCATTCCATTCCATTTCATTCGACCCCATTCCATTCGATTCCATTCCATTCCATTCGATTCCATTCCATTCCGTTCCATTTGATTCCAATGCATTCAATCACATTTTCTTCCAGTCGAATCCATTTGATTCCATTCCTTTCCAGTCCATTCCGTTCGATTCCACTCGATTTGATTCCATTCGATTCAATTCCTTTACACTCGATTCCACTCCGTTCTATTCCATTGAATTCCATTCTATTCCATTCCATTGCATTCCTTTCATTTCCATTTGATTACATTTCATTCGATTCCAAGGCATTCGAATAAATTATATTTCCATTCATTACTATCGCGTCCGTTCTATTCCAGTCCATTCAATTCCATTCCATTCCATTCAATACACTTCCATTGGATCCCATTTCATACTATTGCATACCTTTTGATTCCATTCTATTCGAGTAAATTCCAACCGAGTCCATTGCATTCCAGTCCATTCCATTCTTTTCCATTCCATTGCATTCCATTCCATTCGATGTAATTCCATTCAATTCTATTCCTTTTGACTCCATTGCACTCCATTCCGTTCCATCCAAATCCATTCCATTCTATTCCTTTCCATTCCATTCCATTCCATTCGTTTCCTTTACAGTCGAGTCCATTCCATTCCAGTCCATTCCATTCGATCACGTTCCATTCCATTCCATTCCATTTGATATCTTTCCATTACACTCCATTCCATTCCATTCCATTCCATTCAATTCCATTCCATTCGATTCCATTCCATTTGATTCCATTCCATTCGACTCCATTCCTTTCCATTCAGTTCCATTCCATTCCTTTCTGTTCGATTCCAATCCTTTCGATTCCATTTTGTTCCAGTCCATTCCATTCCAGTTCATTCTATTCGTTTCCATTCCATTCCATTCCATTCCATTCCATTCCATTCCACTCGATTCCACCCCGTTTCATTCCATTGCTTTCCATTTTATTCCATTCCATTGCATTCCATTCCATTCCATTCCATTTCTTTACATTCCAATCGATTCCATTCCATTTAAATGAAATAAATTGCAATCCATTAAATTCGAGTCCATTCTATTCCAGTCCATTCCATTCCGTTCCATTCCATTTGATTCCATTCCATTCGATTCCATTCCATACTATTGCATTCCATTCGATTCCATTCTATTAGAATAAATTCCATTTGAGACCATTCCTTTCGAGTCCATTCTATTTGAGTCCATTCCATTCGAGTCCATTATATTTGGAACCATTCCAATCCTTTCCATTCCAATACATACATTTCCATTCCATTTGATGCCATTACATTCTGTTCTATTCCATTCGAGTTCATGCCATTCGAGTCCATTCCATTCCATTCCATTCCATTCAATGCCATTCCATTTGATTCTATTCCATTCGACTACATGCCATTCTATTCCATTTCATCCGATTCCATTCCATTCCGTTTCATCTGATTCCATTCCATTCTATTCCTTTCCATTCCATTCCATTCCATTTCGTTCGTTTCCATTCTTTTCGAGTCCATTCCACTCCAGACCATTCCATTCGATTCAATTCCATTCCAGTTCTTTCCATTGGTGTCTATTCCATTCCTTTCAATATCTTTCCATTAAAGTCCATTCCATTCTATTCCTTTCAATTCCATTCCACTCGATTCCATTCCATTCGGTTCCATTCCATTCAACTCCATTCCTTTCGAGTCCATTCCTTTCCATTCCATTCCATTCCGTTCCGTTCGATTAGAATCCGTTTGATTCCATTTTCTTTCAGTCCGTTCCATTCGAATCCATTCCATTTGATTCAATTCCATTCGACTCCATTCCATTTGATTCCATTTCACTCGATTCCACTCCGTTCCTTTCCATTGCATTCCATTCTATTCCATTCCATTGCATTCCTTTCCATTTCATTTGATAACCTTCCGTTCGATTCCATTATTTATGGATCAATTACATTGCAATCCATTACATTCGAATCCGTTCTATTCCATCCACTCCATTCTGGTCCACTCCATTTGATTCCATTCCATTCGATTCCATTCCATACTATTGCATTCCATTTGATGCCATTCTATTGAATAAATTCCATTTGACACCATTCCTTTCGAGTCCATTGTATTTGAGTCCATTCCATTCGAGTCCATTACTTTCCATTCTATTCTATTCCATTCGATGCCATTCCATTCGATTCTATTCCATTACAATCCATTCAATTCCATTCCCTTCCTTCAAACTCCATTCCATCCTATTCCTTTCATTCCATTCCATTCCATTCCATTCCATTCGAGTCCATTCCTTTTGAGTCCATTCCATTCCATTCCATTCCTTTTGATGCCATTCCATTCGATTCTATTTCATTCGGCTCCTTTCCATTCCGTTCTATTCCATCCGATTCCATTTCAATCTATTCTTTTCCATTCCATTCCATTCCATTCCATTCAGTTCCATTCCATTATGGTCCATTCCACTCCAGTCCATTCCATTTGAGCCCATTTCATTCCCGTCCATTCCATTCGAGTCCATTCCATTCCAATCGATATCTTTCCATTACACTCCATTCCATTCTATTCCTTTCGATTCCATTCAATTCCACTTCTTGTGGTTACATTCCATTCAACTCCACAACATTCGATTACATTCCATTCCAAATCATTCCATTCCATTCGATACCAATCTGTTCGATTCCATTTTGTTTCAATCCATTCCATTCAAGTCCATTCCAGTCTAGTCAATTCCATTCGTTTCCATTCCATTCCATTCCATTCTATTTGATTCCATTCCACTCTATTGCACTCCGTTCCACTCGATTGGATTCCATTCTATTCCATTCCATTCCATTCCATTCCATTTGATTACATTCCATTTGATTCCATTCCATTCGAATCAATTACATTGCAATCCATTACATCCGAGTCCATTCTTTTCCAGTCCATTTTATTCCGGTCCATTCCGTTCGATTCCATTCCATTCCATTCCATTCCATACTATTGCATTCCATTCGATGACATTCTATTGATTAAATTCCATTTGAGGCGATTCCTTTTGAGTCCATTCTATTTAAGGCCATTCCATTAGAGTCCATTACATTGGGATCTATTCCGTTCCATTCCATTCCGTTCCATTCTATTCCATTCCTTTCCATTATATTCGATGCCATTCCAATCTATTCTATTCCATTCCATTATATTCGATGCCAATCCATTCTGTTCTATTCCATTCAAGTCCATTCCATTCCAGTCCTTTCAATTCCATTCCAATCCATTCCATGCCATTCGATGCCATTCCATTTGATTCTATTCCATTTGACTCAATTCCATTCCATTCCCTTCCATCCAATTCAATTCAATTCTATTCCTTTCCATTCCATTCCATTCCATTCCATTCCATTCCATTCCATTCGAGTCCATTCCAATACAGTCCATTCCATTCGAGTCCATTCCAATCCAGTCCATTCCATTCGAGTCCATTGCATTCAAGTCCATTCCATTCCATTCCATTCCATTCCTTTCGATGCCATTCCATTCGACGCTATGCCATTCGACAGCAGTCCATTCCATTCTCTTCCATCCGATTCCATTCCAGTGTATTCGTTCCATTCCATTCCATTCCATTCATTTCCATTCCATTCGAGTCCATTCCAGTCCAGTCATTTCCATTCGAGTCCATTCCATTCCAGTCCATTCCATTTGAGTCCATTCCATTCCATTACATTCCATTCGACTGCATTCCATTCCATTCTGTTCCATCCGATTCCGTTCCACTGTATTCGTTCCATTCCATTCCATTCCATTCATTTACATTCCATTCGAGTCTATTCCAGTCCAGTCATTTCCATTCGAGTCCATTCCATTCCATTCCATTCCATTCCATTACATTCCATTCAACTCCATTCCATTTGACGCCATTCAATTCGAGTCTGTTCCATTCCATTCAATTCTATTCCGTTCCATTTGATACCAATCTGTTCGATTTCATTTTATTCCAGTCCATTCCATTCGAGTGCATTCCATTCCAGTCCATTCTATTTGATTCCATTCCTTAGATTATATTCCATTTGATTCCATTACACTCAGTTCCACTCCATTCCGTGCCATTGCATTCCATTCAATTCCATTCCATTGCATTCCATTCCATTGCTTTTGATTGCATTCCATTCGATTCCATTCCATTCAAATCAATTACATTGCATTCCATTACATTCGAGTCCATTCTATTCCAGTCCATCATATTCCGGTCCATTCCATTCGTATGCATTCCATTCGATTCCATTCCATACTATAGCATTCCATTCAATTCCATTCTATTCAAATAAATTCCATTCAAGACCATTCCTTTCGAGTCCATTCTATTTGAGTCCATTCCATTCGAGTCCATTACATTTCTGTCCATTCAATTAAATTCCATTCCATTCCGTTTCATTCTATTCCATTCCATTCGAAGCCATTCTATTCTATTCTATTCCATTCGATTCCATTCCATTCGATTCCATTCCATTCCATTCCATTCGATGCCATTCCATTCGGTTCTATTCCATTTGACTCCAATAAATTCCACTAAGATCCATCCGATTCCATTCCATCCTATTTCTTTCCATCCCATTCCATTCCATTTCATTCGTTTCCATTCCATTCGATTCCATTCCATTCGATTCCATTCCATTCGATTCCATTCCATTCGATTCCATTCCACAATATTGCAGTCCGTTCCATTCCATTGCTTTCCATTCTATTCCATTCCATTGCATTGCATTTCATTCCATTTGATTACAGTCCATTGGATTCCATTCCATTCGAATCAATTACATTGCAATCCATTACATGAGAGTCCATTCTATACCAGTCCATTCCATTCCGGTCCATTCCATTCTATTCTAATCCTGTCGATTCCATTCCATACTATTGCATTACATTTGATTCCATTCTATTCGAATAAATTCCATTCGAAACCATTCCTTTTGAGTCCATTTTTATTTAAGTCCATTCCTTTCGAGTCCATTACATTTGGTTCCATTCCCTTCCATGCCATTCCATTCCATTCCACTCAATGACATTCCATTCTATTATAATCCATTTGAGTCGATTCCATTCGAGTCCATTCCATTCCATCCCATTCCAGTCTTTCCATTTGATGCCATTCCATATGACTGCATTCCATTCCTTTCAGTTCTATACAATTCCATTCCATTCTATTCCTTTCCATTCCATTCCATTCCTTTCGTTTCCATTCCATTCTAGTCCAATACACTCCAGTCCATTCCATTCGAGTCCATTCCACTCCAGTACATTCCATTAGATTCTATTCCATTCCAGTCCATTCCATTCGAGTCCAATCATTTCCTTTCCATTCCATTTGATATCTTTCCATTACACTCCATTCCATTCTATTCCTTTAATTCCTTTCAATTCCATTCCATTCGATTCCATTCCTTTTGACTCCATTCCTTTCGAGTTTATTCTATTCCAGTCCATGCCATTCGATTCCATTTCATTCCATTCCATTCCATTTGATATCTTTCCATTACACCCCATTCTATTCTATACCATTCGATTCCTTTCAATTCCATTTCCTTCGATTCAATTCCATTAGATTCTATTCCATTCAATTCCATTCTATTCGACTCCATTCCATTCGAGTCCTTTCCATTCCATTGGTTTCCATTCCATTCCGTTCCCTTTGATTCCAATCCATTTGATTCCATTTTGTTCCAGTTCATTCCATTCGACTCCATTCCATTTGATTGCATTCCATTCTATTCCATTCCATTCAATTCCATTCCAATCGATTTCACTCCATTAAATTCCATTGCATTCCATACAATTCCATTCCATTGCATTCCATTCCATTCCTTTTGATTACATTCCATTCGATTCCATTTGAATCAATTACATTGCAATATGTTACAATCGAGTCCGTTCTATTCCAGTCCATTCCATTCCAGTCCATTCCATTTGTTTCCATTCCATTCAATTCCATTCCATACTATTGCATTCCATTCGATTCCCGTCTATTTGTATAAATTCCATTCGAGACCATTCCTTTCAAATCCATTCTATTTGTGTCCATTCCATTCGACTCCATTATATTCGGGTCCATTCCATTCCATTTCATTCGATGCCATTCCATTCGATTATATTTCCATTCGACTCCATTCCCTTCCATTCCATTCCATTTGATTCCATTCCATACTATACCTTTCATTCCATTGCATTGCATTTCATTTCATTCTATTCGTTTCCATTCCATTCGAGTCCATTCCATTCCAGTCCCTTCCATTAGATTCCTTTTCATTCCAGTCCATTCCATTTGATTCCATTCCATTCCATTCCATTTCATATATTCCCATTACACTCCATTCCATTCTATTCCTTTCGTTTCCATTCAATTCCATTCCATTCGATTCCATTCCATTCGATTCCATTCCATTAGACTCCATTGAATTCGAGTCCATTCCATTCCATTCGATTCTAATCCATTCGATTCCTATTTGCTCCAGTCTATTCCATTCGAGTCTATTCCATTCCAGTCCATTCCTTTCCGGTATATTCCATTCGATTCCATTCCATTTGATTCCATTCCTTACTATTGCAAATCCATTTGATTCCATTCTATTTGAATAAATTTCATTCAAGACCATTCCTTTTGAGTACATTCTATTTGAGTCCATTCCGTTCGAGTCCATTATATTTGGTTCCATTCCATTCCATTCAATTCCAGGCCATTCCATTTAATTCATTCCATTCGAGTCCATTCCATTTGAGCCCATTCCATTCGATTTCATTCCATTCCATTTGATTCCATTCCATTCGATTATATTCCATACGACTCCATTCCATTCCATTCCATTCCATCCGATTCCATTCCATTTGAGCCCATTCCATTCAATGTCATTCCATTCCATTTGATTCCATTCCATTCGATTATATTCCATACGACTCCATTCCATTCCATTCCATTCCATTCCATCCGATTCCATTCCATTCTATTCCTTTCCATTCCATTCCATTCCATTCGTTTCCATTCCCGTCAAGTCCATTCCACTCCAGTCCTTTCCATTCGAGTTGATTGCATTCCAGTCCATTCCATTAGAGTCCATTCCATTCCATTTCATTCCATTCGATATCTTTCCATCACAATCCATCCCATTCTTTTCCTTTTGATTCCATTCAAATCCATTTCATTCGATTCCATTCCATTCGACTCCACTCCATTCAAGTCCATTCCATTCCATTCCACTCCCTTCCTTTCAATTCCAATCCGTTTGATTCCATTATGTTCCAGGCCATTCCATTCGACTCCATTTTATTCCAGTCCATTCCATTCGATTCCATTCCACTCGATTCCACTGCGTTCCATTCCATCGGATTCCATTCTATTTCATTACATTGCATTCAATTCCATTCCATTTGATTACATTGAATTCGATTCCATTCCATTCGAATCAATCACATTGCAATCCATTACATTCGTGTCCATTCTATTCCATGCCATTCCTTTCCTGTCCATTCCTTTCAATTCCATTCTATTTGAATCAATTCCATACTACTGCATTCCATTCAATTCCATTCTATTCGAATAAATTCCATTCCAGACCATTCCTTTCGAGTCCATTCTATTTGAGTCCATTCGTTTCTAGTCCATTACCTTTGGGTAAATTCCATTCCATGACATTTCATTCCATTCCATTCGATGCCATTCCATTCGATTATCTTCCATTCGAATCCATTGCTTTAAAGTCCCTTCCATTCCATTAAATTCCAGTCCATTCCATTAGATGCCATTTCATTCGATTCTATTGCATTCGACTCCATTCCATTCCATTCCGTTCCATCCAATTCCATTCCATTCTATTCCGTTCCATTCTATTCCACTGCATTCCATTCTATTTGTTTCCATTCCATTCATGTCCATTCCAATCCAGTCCATTCCATTCGAGTCTATTCCATTCCAGTCCATTCCATTAGAGTCCATTCCACTCCAGATCATTCTGTTCAAGTCCATTTCATTTAATTCCATTTCATATCATTTGATATCTTTCCATTACACTCCTTTCCATTCCATTCCTTTTGATTCAATTCAATTCCATTCCATTCGATTCCAATCCATTCGATTCCATTCCATTCGACTCCATTCCATTCGAGTCCATTCCATTCCATTCCATTCTATTCCATTCTATCCCTTTCCATTCGATTCAATTTTATTCCAGTCCATTCCATTCGATTCCATTCCATTTGATTCCATTCCACTCGATTCCACTCTTTTCCATTCCATTGCAATCCATTCTATTCCATTCCATTGCATTCCATTCCATTCCATTTGATTACATTCCTTTCGAACCTATTACATTGCAATCCATTGCATTCAAGTCCATTCTATTCCAGTCCATTCCATTCTGATCCATTCAATTCGAAGCCATTCCATTCGATTCCATTCCATACTATTTCTTTCCGTTAGAATTCATTCAATTGAAATAAGTTTCTTTCGAGACCATTCCTTTCGAGTCCATTCTATTTGAGTCCATTCCATTCGAGTCCATTACCTTTTTGTCCATTCTATTCCATTCTATTCCGTGACATTCCATTCAATTCTATTCCATTTGTGCCCATTCCATTTGAGTCAATTTCATTCGAGTTCTCTCCATTCCATACCATTCCTTTCCAGTCCATTCGATGCCATTCTATTCGATTCTATTGCATTCGACTCCATTCCATTCCATTCCTTTCCATTCCTTTACATTCTATTCCATTCCATTCCATTCTTTTCAATTCCTTTACATTCTATTCCATTCCATTCCATTCCATTCCATTCGTTTCCATTCCTTTCTAGTCCATTCCACTCCAGTCTATTCCATTCGGGTCCATTCCATTCCAGTCCATTCCATTCGAGTCCATTCCATTCCATTCCATTCGATATCTTTCAATTACACTCAATTCCATTCTATTCCTTTCATTTCCATTCAATTCCAATCTATTTGATTCCATTCCATTCTATTCCATTCCATTCGATTCCATTCCATTCAATTCAATTCCACTTGATTCCACTCCATTCCATTCCATTGCATTCCATTCTATTCCATTCCATTGCATTCCGTTACTTTCCATTTGATTACATTCGATTTTATTCAATTCAGTTCCATTCCTTTCGACTCCATTCCATTTGAGTCAATTCCCTTGCAATCCATTCAATTCCATTCCCTTCAGTTCGACTCTAATCCTTTCCATTCCAATATGTTCCAGCTCATACCATTCGAGTTCATTCCATTCCAGTCCATTACATTCGATTCCCTTCCATTCGATTCCATTCCATTCGACTTCATTCCACTCAATTCCACTCCGTTCAATTCCCCTGCATTCCGTTCTAATCCATTCCATTGCATACCACTCCGTTCCATTTGAGTACGTTCCATTCGTTTCCATTCCATTCAAATCAATAGCATTGGAAACCATTACATTCAATTCCGTTCTATTGCATTCCATTCCATTCCATTCCATTTGATTCCTTTCCATTCGATTATATTCCATTTGACTCCATTCCATTCAATTCCTTTCCATCTGATTCCATTCCATTCTATTCCTTTCCATTCCATTCTATTCAAATCCATTCCATTAGTTTCCATTCCATTCGAGTCCATTCCACTACTGTCCATTTCATTCGAGTTCATTGCATTCCAGTCAATTCCATTCGAGTCCATTCCATTCCATTCCATTTCATTTGATATCTTTCCATTACGCTCCATTCCATTCTATTCTTTCCATTCCATTCAACTCCATTTCATTCGATTCAATGCCATTCAATTCCATTCCATTTGATTCCTTTCCATTCGACTCCATTCCATTCGATTCCTTTCCATTCCATTCCGTTCCGTTCAATTCCAATCTGTTCGATTCCATTATGTTCCAATTTATTCCATTCCATTCCATTCCATTCCAGTACATTCCATTTGATTCCATTCCATTCGATTACATTCCACTCGATTCCACTGTGTTCCATTCCATTTCATTCCATTCTATTCCATTCCATTGCATTCCATTTCATTACATTTGATTGCATTCCATTCGATTCCATACCATTCGAATCAATCACGTTGCAATACATTACATTCGTGTCCGTTCTATTCCAGTCCATTCCTTTGCAGTCCATTCCATTTGATTCCATTCCATTCGATTCCATTCCATATTGCTGGGTTCCATTCGATTCCAATACATTTGGGTCCTTTCCATTCCATGACATTCCATTCCATTACATTCGATGCCATTCCATTCAATTATATTCCATTCAAGTGCATTCCATTCGAGTCCATTCCATTCCATTTCATTTCATTCCATTTGATGCCATTCCATTCGATTCTATTCCATTCGACTCCATTCCGTTCCATCCCATTCCATTCCATTCTATACTTTTCCATTCCATTCCATTCCATTAATTTCCATGCCATTCGAGTCCATTCCACTCCTGCCAATTCCATTCAAGTCCATTCCATTCGAGTGCATTCCATTCCAGTCCATTCCACTCGAGTCCATTCCATTAAATTGCATTCCTTTTTTATCTTTCCATTCCACTCCATTCCTTTCTATTCCATTCGATTCCATTCCATTAAAATCAATTACATTGCAATCCATTACATTCCTGTCCATTCTATTACAGTCCACTCCATTCTGGTCCACTCCATTCGATTCCATTCCATTCGATACCATTCCATACTATTGCATTCCATTCCTTTCCATTCTAATCGAATAAATTCCATTCGAGACCCTTCCTTTTGAGTCCATTCTATTTGAGTCCATTCCATTCCAGTCCATTACAATTGGGTCCATTCCATTCCATTAAATTGCATTCAATGCCATTCCATTCCATTCGAGTCCATTCCATTCGACTCCATTACATTCCATTGCGTTCCATCCAATTCCAATCCATTCTATTCCATTCCATTCCATTCCATTCCATTCCATTCCATTCGTTTCATTTCCATTCGCATCCATTCCACTCCCATCCATTCCATTCGAGTCAATTCAATTCTAGTACATTACATTCAAGTCCATTCCATTCCATTCGGTTCGATTTCTGTCCATTACACTCCATTCCATTCTATTCCTTTCAATCCCTTTCAATTCCATTCTATTCCTTTCCATTCCATTCGAGTCCATTCCATTCAATTCCATTACATTCTGTTTGATTCCAATCTGTCCGATTCCATTTTTTTCCAGTCCAATCCATTCGAGTCCATTATATTCCAATCCATTCCTATCGATTCCATTCCATTCTATTCCATTCCATTTGATTCCATTCCGCTCGATTCCACTCCGTTCCATTCCAGTGCATTCCATTCTATTCCATTTCATTGCATTCCATTCCTCCCCCTTTGATTACATTCCATTAGATTCCATTCCATTCGAATCAATTACATTGCAATACATTACATTCCTGTCCATTTTCTTCCAGTCCTTCCATTCCGGTCCATTCCATTTGACTCCATCCATTCAATTCCATTCCATATTATTGCATTCCATTCGATTCCATTCAATTCGAATAAATTCCATTCGAGACCATTCCTTTCAAGTTCATTCTAATTGAGTCCATTCCATTTGAATACATTACATTTGGGTCTATTCCATTCCTTTCCATTCCATTCCATTCGATGCCATTCCATTCGATTCTATTTCATTTGAGTCCATTCCATTCAACTTCATTCCATTCCATTTCATTCCATTCCGTTCCATTCGAAGCCATTCCATTGGATTCTATGCCATTTGACTCCATTCCATTCCATTCCTTTCAATCTGATTCCATTCCATTCTTTCCTTTCCATTCCATTCCATTCCATTCATTTTCATTCCATTCCAGTCCATTCCACTCCAGTCCATTCCATTCGAGAAAATTCTAATCCAGCCCAGTCCATTGAAGTCCATTCCATTCCATTTGATATCTTTCCATTACGCTCCATTCCTTTCCATTCCATTTGATGCCATTCCATTCTATTCTATTCCATTCGAGTCCATTCCATTTGAGACCATTCTGTTCCACTGCATTCCATCCCATCCGCTTCCATTCCATTCTATTCCTTTCTGTTCCATTCTTTTCAATTCCATTCGTTTTCTTTGCATTCGAGTCCATTCCACTCCAGTACCTTTCCAATCATGTCCATTACATTCCAGTCCATTCCATTCGAGTCATTTCCATTTCATTCCATTCGATATCTTTCAATTACACTCCATTCCATTCTATTCCTTTCGATTCCATTGAATTCAATTCCATTCGATTCCATTCCATTCGATTCCATTCCATTTGACTCCTTTCCATTCGAGTCCATTCCATTCCATTCCATTCCGCGCGATTTCAATCTGTTCCATTCCATTTTGTTCCAGTCCATTCCATTACAGTCCATTCCATTCTGGTCCATTTAATTCCATTCCGCTCCATTCCGTTCCAATCCATTCCAGTTGGTTCGATACAATTTTGTTCCAGTCCATTCCATAACATAACATTCCATTCGATTCCATTCCATTCGATTACATTCCACTCGATTCCATTCCACTCAATTCCACTCAGTTCCATTACATTGCATTCCATTGTATTCCATTCCATTGCATTTGAGTATATTACATTTGATTCCATTCCATTCGAATCAATTATATTGCAATCCATTACATTCGACTGCATTCTCTTCCAGTCCTCTCCACTCTGGTCCATTGCACTAGATTCGTTTCTATTCGATTCCGTTCCATATTATTGCATTCCATTCGGTTCCATTCTGTTGGAATAAATTCCATTCAATACCATTCATTTCGAGTCCATTCTATTTGAGTCCATTCCATTGAAGTCCATTACATTTGTGTCCATTCCACTCCATTTCATTCCATTACATTCTATTCCTTGCCCTTCCATTCCATTGTATTCCATTTGTGTCCATTTCATTCGAGTCCATTCCATTCCATACCATTCGATGCCATTCCATTCGATTCTATTCCATTTGACTTCATTCCACTCCATTCCATTCCATCTGATTCCATTCCATTCTTTTCCTTTTCCTTCCCTTCCATTCCATTCCATTCCATTTGTTTCCCTTTCATTCGAGTCCATTCCACTGCAGTCCGTTCCATTCGAGTCCATTCCACTCCAGTCCGTTCCTTTCGAGTCCATTCCTTTCCTGTCCATTCCATTCCATTCCATTCGATATCTTTCCATTACACTCCATTCCATTCTATTCTTTTTGATTCCATTCATTTCCATTGTATTCGATTCCATTCCATTCAATTCCATTCCATTTGACTACCTTCCAATCGAGTCCATTCCATTCCACTCCATTCCATTCCACTCAATTCCAATATGTTCGATTCCAATTATTTCCAGGCCAATCCATTCGAGTACATTACATTTCAGTCCATTCCAATTGATTCCCTTCTATTCAATTCCATTTTATTCGATTCAATTCCACTCGATCCCACTCCTTTCCATTCCATTGCATTCTATTCTATTCCACTCCATTGCATTCCGTTCCATTCCGTTTGATTACATTCCATTTGATTCCATTCCATTTGATTCATTTCCATAATATTGCATTCAACTCGATTCCAGTCTTTTCGAAAGAATTCCATTCGAGACCATTCCTTTTGGAGTCCATTCTATTTGTGTACATTACATTTGGGTCCATTCCATTCCATTCCATGCCATTCCATTCCATTCCATTCATTCGATGCCATTCCATTCGACTCTATTCCATTCGAGTCCATTCCATTCGAGTCGAATCCTTTCCATTCCATTCCATTTCATTCCATTCCATTCGAAGCCATTCCATTGGATTCTTTTCCATTCGACTCCATTCCATTCCATCCGATTCCATTCCATTCTGTTCCTTTGCATTCCATTCCATTCCCTTCCATTCCATTCGTTTCCATTTCATTCGAGTCCATAACACACCGGTCCATTCCATTCGTGTCCATTCCACTCCAGTCCATTCCATTCGAGTCCATTCCATTCCATTCCATTCGATATCTTTCCATTACACTCAATTTCATTCTATTCCTTTCGATTCCATTCAATTCCATTCCATTCGGTTCCATTCCATTCAACACCATTCCGTTTGAATCCATTCCATTCCATTCCATTCCATTCCCTTCCCTTCCGTATGATTCCAATCCGTTAGATTCCATTTTGTTCCAGTCCATTACATTTGAGTCCATTCCATTGCATTCCATTACTTTTGATTCCATTCCATTTGATTTCATTCCACTCAATTCCATTCCGTTCCATTCCATTGCATTCCATTCTATTCCATTTGATTACATTCCATTCGATTCCATTCCATTCGAATCCATTCCATACTTTTGCATTCCCTTTGATTCCATTCTATTCGAATATATTCCATTCGAGACCATTCCTTTTGAGTCCATTCTATATGAATCCATTCCATTAGGGTCCATTACATTTGGGTCCATTCCATTCCATTCCATGCCATTACATTAGATTCTATTCCTTTCGAGTCCATTCCATTAATTTCCATTCCATTCTATTTGATACCATTCCACTCTATTCAACTCCTTTCCATTCCATTCCATTGCATTCTATTCCATTCCTTTGCATTCCATTCCATTCCATTTCATTGCCTTCCATTCTATTCGAAGGCATTCGAATCAATTTCTTTGCAATCCATTACATTTGTGTCCATTCTATTCCAGTCCATTCTATTTCGGTCCATTCCATTCGATTCCATTCCATACTTTTGCATTCCCTTTGATTCCATTCTATTCAAATATATTCCATTTGAGACCATTCCTTTTGAATCCATTCTATATGAATCCATTCCATTAGTGTCCATTACATTTGGGTTCATTCCATTCCATTCCATTCCATGCCATTACATGAGATTCTATTCCATTCGAGTCCATTCCATTAAATTCCATTCCATTCCATTCTATGCCATTCATTTCGATTTTATTCCATTCGTCTCCATTCCATTCCATTCAGTTCCTTCTGATTCCATTCCATTCTATTCCTTTCCATTGCACTCAATTCCATTCGATTCATTTCCATTCCATTCTAGTCCATTCGTCTCGAGTCCATTCATTTGAGTCCATTAAGTTGCAGTCCATTCCATTAGAGTCCATTCTATTCCATTCCATTCGATATCTTTCCACTACACTCCACACCATTCTATTGCTTTCGAATTCATTCAATTCCATTCCATTCGATTCCATTCCATTCGGTTACATTACATTCAAAACCATTCCACTCGAGTCCATTCCATTCCTTTCCATTCTGTTCTGTTTGATTCCAATCCGTTTGATTCCATTTTGTTCCAGTAAATTCCATTCGAGTCCATTCCATTCCAGGACATTCCATTCAGTTCCATTCCATTCGATTCCATTCCACTCGATTCCACTCCGTTCCATTCCATTGCATTCCATTCTATTCCATTCCATTGCATTCCATTCCATTCACTTTGATTACATTCCTTTTGATTCCATTCCATTCGAATCAATTACTTTGCAATCCATTGCATTCGATTTTGCTCTATTCCAGTCCATTCTATTCCGTTCCATTCCATTCGATTCCATTCGATTCTATTCCAAACCATACTATTGCATTACATTCGATTCCATTCTATTCAAATAAATTCCATTTGAGACCATTCCTTTTGGGTCCATTCTATTTGAGTCCATTCCATTTGATTTCTTTACATTTGGGTCTACTCCATTCAATTCCATTCCATTCACTGCCATTCCCTTCTATTCTACTCAATTTTAGTCCATTCCATAAAATTCCATTACATTCCATTCGATGCCATTCCATTCAATTCTGTTTCATTCGACTGCATTCCATTCCATTCCGATCCATCTAATTCCATTCCGTTCTTTTCCTTTCCATTCCATTCAAATCCATTCCACTCTATTCCTTTCCATTCCATTCAATTCCATTCCACTGGTATCCATTCCATTTGAGTCCGTTCGACTCCAGTCCAATCCATGTGAATCCATTCAATTCCTGTCCATTCCATTCGAGTCCATTCCTTTTGACACCATTCCATTCGTTTCCATTCCGTACTCTTGCACTACTTTCGATTCCATTCAATTTGATTCCATTGCTTTCTAGTCCATTACATTTGGGTCCATTGCATTCCCTTCCATTCCATTCCATTCCATTCCATTCTATGACATTCCATTTGACTCTATTCCATTCAAGTCCATTCCATTCGAGTCCATTCCATTCCATTCCATTCCATTTGATGGCATTCCATTTGATTCTACTTCATTTCACACCATTCCATTCCATTACGTTGCATCATATTCCATTCCATTATATTCCTTTCCATTCCATTCCATTGCATTCCATTCCAATCCTTTTCATTCCATTCATTTCCATTCCATTCCATTCCATTGCATTACATTCCAATCCTTTTCATTCCATTCGTTTCCATTCCATTCCATTGCATTCCATTCCACTGCATTTCATTCCATTCGTTTCCATTCTATTCGAGTCCATTCCCCTCCTGACCATTCCATTCTAGTCCATTCCATTCCTCTCCCTTCCCATCAAGTCCATTCCATTCCATTCCATTCCATTGGTTATCTTTCCATTACACTCCATTCCATTCTATTCCTTTCGATTCCATTCAATTCCATTCCATTCGGTTCCATGCCATTCGACTCCATTCTATTCTAGTCCATTCCATTCCATTCCATTCCATTCCATTCCATTCCATTCGACATCTTTCCATTACACTCCATTCCATTCTATTCCTTTCAATTCCTTTAAATTCCATTCCATTTGCTTCCATTGCATTTGATTCCATTCCATTCGACTCCATTCCATTCGAGTCCATTAAATTCCATTCCATTCCGTTTCATTCAGTTCCTTTCAATTTCAATCCATTCGATTCCATTTTTTCCAGTCCATTCATTTCGAGTCCATTCCATTACAGTCCATTCCATTCGAGGCCATTCCATTCCATTCCATTCCATTCCATTCCATTGCATTCCATTGCATATCTTTAAATTACACTCCATTCCATTCTCTTCTTTTCAATTCCATTCAATTCCATTCCATTAAGTTCCATTCCATTTCACTCCATTCCATTCGAGTCCATTCCATTCAGTTCCGTTTAATTCCAATCCATTCTATTACATTTTGTTCCAGTCCATTCCATTCGAGTCCATTCCATTCCATTCAATGTCACTCCATTGGATTCTATTCCATTAAACTCCATTACATTCCACTCCGTTCCATCCTATTCCATTCCATTCTATTCCTCTCCATTCCATTCCATTAGTTTCCATAACTTTTTTGTCCATTCCACTCCAGTCCATTCCATAAGAGTCCATTCAATTCCAGTAAATGTCATTCGAGTCCAATCCTTTCCATTCCATTCAATTTCTTTACATTTTACTCCATTCCATTCTATTCCTTTCGATTCAATTCAATTCCATTATATTTCATTCCATTCCATTCGATTCCATTCAATTAGAATCCATTCCAATCGAGTCCATTCCATAACATTCCTTTTCATTTGATGTCACTCCATTGTATTCTATTCCATTAGACTCCATTACATTCCACTCCGTTCCATCAAATTCCATTCCATTCTATTCCTTTCCATTCCATTCCATTCCATTCCATTCCATTCGTTTCCTTTCCATTCAAGTCCATTCCACTTCAGCCCATTCCATTCTAGTCCATTCCATTCCAGTCCATTGCATTCGATTCCATTGCATTCCATTCCAATTGATAACTTTCCATTACACTCCGTTGCATTCTATTCCTTACGAATCCATTCCATTCCATTCCATTCTATTCCATTCCATTCAACTCCATTCCATTCGTGTAAATTCCATTTCATTTCATTCCATTGCATTCGATTCCGATCCGTATGATTCCATTTTGTTGCAGTCCATTCCATTCGAGTCCATTCCATTCCAGTCCATTCCATTCGATTCTTTTCCCTTCGATTCCACTCAATTCGATTCCATTCCACTCAATTCCACACCGTACCATTCCATTGCATTCCATTCTATTCCATTCCATTGCTTTGCATTCCATTCCATTTGATTACATTCCATTATATTCCATTCCATTCGAATCAATTACATTGCCATCCATTACATTCGAGTCCGTTCTATTCCAGTCCATTCCATTCTGGTCTATTCCATTCGATTCCATTCCGTTCGATTCCATTCCATACTATTGCATTCCATTCGATTCCATTGTATTCGAATAAATTCCATTCGAGAACATTATTTTCGAATCCTTTCTCTTTGAGTCCATTCCATTCGAGTCCATTACATTTGAGTCCATTCCATTCCATTCCATTCCATTCCATTCCATTCCATTCCGTTCCATTCCATTCGATGCCATTTCATTTGATTCTATTCCATTTGACTCCATTCCATTCGACTCCATTCCATTCCATTACATTCCATTCCACTCCATTCCATTCCATTCAAGGCCATTCCATTTGATTCTATTCCATTCGAGTCTATTAATTTGGAGTCCATTCCATTCCATTCCATTCCTTTCCATTCTATTTGATGCCATTCTATTCGATTCTCTTCCATTCGATTCCATTCCATTCCATTCCATTCCATGAAATCCGAATTCATTCCATTCTATTCCTTTCCATTCCATTCCATTCCATTCTTCTCCCTTCCATTCCAGTCCATTCCACTCCAGTCCATTCCATTGTAGTCCATTCATTCCATTCCAGTCATTTCCATTCGAGTCCATTCCATTCAAATCCATTCCATTCAAATCCATTCCATTCCATTCCTTTCTATTCGATATCTTTCCGTTACACTCCATTCTATTCTGTCTTTCGATTCTATTCAATTCCATTCCATTCAATTCCATTTCTTTCGATTCTTTCCTTTCAACTCCATTCCATTCGAGTCCATTCCATTCAATTCCATTCGATATCTCTAGATTACACTCCATTCCATTCTATACTTTCAATTCCATTCAATTCCATTTCATTCATTTCCTTTCCATTTGGTTCCATTCCATTTGACTCCATGCCTTTGGATTACATTCCATTCCATTCCAATCCGTTCCATTCGAATCCAATCCATTCGATTCCATTTTGTTCCAGTCCATTCTATTCGAGTCCATTCCATTCCTGTCCATTCCATTTGATTCCTTTCCATTCGATTCCATTCCACTTAATTCCACTCCCTTCAATTTTATTACATTCCATTCTATTCCTTTCCATTTCATACCATTCCATTCTATTTGATTACATTATATTTGAATCCATTCCGTTCAAATCAATTACATTGCAATCCATTACAGTCGAGTCCATTCTATTCCAATACATTCCATTCCGGTGAATTCCATTTGATTCCATTCCTTTCTATTCCTTTCCATACTATTGCCTCCCATTCGATTCCATTCTATTCGAATAAATTCCATTCGAGACCATTCCTTTGGAGTCCAATCTATTTGAGTCCATTCAATTCTAGTCCATTATAATTGGTTCCATTCCATTCCTTTCCATTTCATTCCTTTCCATTTCATTCCTTTCCATTCCTTTCCATGCCATTCGATCTCATTCCATTCTGTTCTATTCCAATCGTGTCCATTTCATTTCATTCCATTCCATTCGATGTCATTCCATTCGATTCTGTTCCATTAGTCTCCATTCCATTCTATTCCATTTCATCCGATTCTGTTCATTTCTATTCCTTTCAATTCCATTCCCTCCATTCGATTCGTTTCGATTCCATTCGAGTCCATTCCACTCCAGTCCATTACATTCATCTCCATTCCATTCCAGTCCGTTCCATCCGAGTCCATTCAATTCCATTCCATTCCACTCAATATCTTTCCATTCCATTCCATTCCATACTATTCAATTCAATTCCATTCCATTCAATTCCATTCCATTCGGTTCCATTGCATTTGACTCCATTCCATTCGAGTCCCTTCCATTCCATTCCATTCTATTCCAGTCCGTTCAATTCCATTTTTGTTCCATTCCATTCCATTGGAATCCATTCCATTCAATTCCATTCCATTCGATGCCATTCCATTCGATTCTATTCCATTTGTCTCCATTACATTCCATTCCGTTACACATGACTGAGTTCCTTTCTACTCCTTTCAATTCCATTCCCTTCCATTCCATTCGAGTCCATTCCACTCCATTCCATTGTATTCCAGTCCATTCTATTCCAGTCCATTCCATTCGAGTCCATTCCATTCCTTTCCATTTGATATCTTTAAATTACACTCCATTCCATTCTTTTCTTTTTGTTTCCATTCAATTCCACTCCTTTCAATTCCATTCTGCTCGGTTCCATTCCATTCGAATCCATTCCATTCTAGTCAATTCCATTCCATTCCATTCTGTTCGATTCCTGTCCTTTTGATTCCATTTTGTTCCAGTTCATTCCGTTTGATTCCAATCCTTGCGATTATATTCCATTCGATTCCATTCCACGCGATTCCACTTCATTCCATTCCATTGCATTCCATTCTATTCCATTCTATTGTATTCCATTCCGTTCCATTTTATTACTTTCCGTTTGATTCCATTCCATTTGAATCAATTACTTTTCAATTCATTATATTTGAATCCATTCTATTCCACTCCATTCATTCCAGTCCTTTCCTTTCAATTCCATTCCAGTCAATTCCATTCCATACTATTGCATTCCATTCGATTCCATTCTATTTGAATAAATTCCATTCAGGACCATTCCTTTCGAGTCCATTCTATTTGAGTCCATTACATTTGGGTCCATTCCACTCCATTCCATTCCATTCCATTTGCATTCCATTCCATTCAAAGACAGTCCATTCCATTCAATTCCATTCGAGTCCATTCCATTCGAGTACATTAAATTTGAGTCCATTCCATTCGACTCCATTAAATTTGGGTCCATTCCATTCCGCTCCATTCCATTCCATTCCATTCCATTTGCATTTCTTTCCATTCCATTCAATAACAGTCCATTCCGTTCAATTCCATTCAAGTCCATTCCATTCGAGTCCATCACATTTCGGTCCATTCCATTCCATTTCATTCCTTTTGCATTCCATTCCATTCCATTCAATGACAGTCCATTCCATTCAATTCCATTCGAGTTCATTCAATTCGAGTACATTCCATTCCCTTCCATCTGACGAAATTTCATTTGATTCTATTCCAGTCAAATCTATTCCATTCCATTCCGTTCCATCCAATCCCTTTCCATTCTATTCCATTCCAATCCATTCCATTGCATTCCGTTTCATTCATATCCATTCCATTCGTGTCCATTCCACTCCAGTCCATTCCATTCCAGTCAATTCCATTCAAGTCCATTCCATTAGGTATCTTTCCATTACACTCCATTCCAATCTATTCCTTTAAATTCCATTCAATTCCTTTTTATTCGATTCCATTCCATTCGATTCCATTCCATTCGATTCCATTCCATTCGACTACATTCCAATTGAGTCCATTGCATTCCATTCCATTCTATTCTTTTCCATTCCATTCCGTTCCATTCGATTCTAATCTGTTCGATTCCTTTCTTTTGCAGTCCATTCCATTTGACTCCATTCCATTCCATTGCATTACATTCGATTCCTTTCTTTTGCAGTCCACTCCATTCGATTCCATTCCATTCCAGTCCATTACATTCGATTCCTTTCTTTTGCAGTCCACTCCATTCGATTCCATTCCATTCCAGTCCATTCCTTTCGATTCCATTCCATTTGATTCCATTCCATTTAATTTGATGCCATTCAATTTGTTCCCTTCCATTCGACTCCATACAATTCAATTCCGTTCCATCAGATTCCATTCCAATAAATTCCTTTCAATTCCATTCCTTTCCATTCCATTCCATTCCATTCCATTCCATTCTATTCCATTCCATTCCATTCCACTCGTTTCCATTGCATTCAATTCCATTCCACTCCAGTCCATTCATTCAAATATATTCCATTACAATTCATTCCATTTGACTCCATTCCTTTCCGTTCCTTTCCATCCGATTCCATTCCGTTCTCTTCCTTTCCCTTCATTTCCATTCCATTCGAGTCCATTCCTCTCCAGTCCATTCCATTGGAGTCCAATCCATTCCAGTCCATTCCTTTCGAATCCATTCCATTTCATTCCATTCGATATCTTTCCATAACACTCCATTCCATTCCACTCCTTTCGATTCCATTCAATTCCATTCCATTCGACTCTATTACAGTCAATTCCATTCCATTCAATTCCATTCCAGTCCATTCCATTCCATTCCATTCGATGAATTTCCATTCGATTCCATTCCTTTCGATTCCATTCCTTTTTATTCTGATCCATCCAATTCCATTCCATTCTATTCCTTTCCATTGCATTCCATTCCATTTTTTCTTTCCATTCGAGTCCATTCCACTGGACTCCATTCCATTCGAATCCATTTAAATCCAGTCTATTCCATTTGAGTCCATTCCATTCCATTCCTTTCCATTCAATATATTTCCATTACACTCCTTTCCATTCTATTCCTTTGTATTCCATTCAATTCCATTCCATTTGATTCCATTCCATTCGATTCCATTCCATTAGAGTCCATTCCATTCCAATCCATGGCATTCGATTCCAATCTGTACGATTCCATTTTGTTCCATTCCATTTCATTCGAGTCCATTCCATTCCACTCCATTCCATTCGAATCCATTCCATTCTATTTGTTTCCATTCGATTTCTTTCCACTCAACTCCACTCCATTCCTTTCCGTTGCATCCCATTCTATTCCACTCCATTCCATTCCATTCCATTCCATTCCATTCCATTCCATTCGATGTCATTCCATTCGATGCTGTTCTATTCGAGTCCATTCCATTCGAGTCCATTCCATTCGATGCTGTTCCATTCGAGTCCATTCCATTGCATTCCATTCGATGCCATTCCGTTCGATGCCATTTGATTCAATTCTATTCCATTCGACTCCATTCCATTCCATTCTGTTCCATCCGATTCCCTTCCATTCTATTCCTTTCCATTCCATTCCATTACATTCCATTACATCCGTTTCCATTTCATTCGAGTCAGCTCCATTCCATTCCAGTCCATTCCATTCAATGCAATTCCTTTCGATTGTATTCCATTCAACTCCATTCCATTCCATTCCGTTCCTTCTTATTCCATGCCCGTCTATTCCTTTCCATTCCATTCCCTTCCCTTCCATTCCATTCCACTCCTTTCGAATCCATTCCACTCCAGTCCGTTCCATTCGAGTCCATTCCATTCCAGGCCGTTTCATTCCATTCCATTCCATTCCATTCCATTCGATATCTTTCCATTACCCTCCATTGCATTCTATTCCTTTCGATTCCATTCAATTCCATTCTATTCGTTTCCTTTCCATTCGGTTCCATTCATTTTGACGCCATTCCATTCCATTTGATTCCATTCCATTCCGTTCGATTCCAATCCATTCGTTTCCGTTTTGGTCCAGTCCATTCCGTTCGAGTTCATACCATTACAATCCATTCCATTAGGTACCATTACATTGGATTCCATTCCTTTCCATTCCATTCCAGTCTATTCCACTCCATTCCATTCCTTTGCATTCCATTCTATTGCATTCCATTGCATTCCTTTACATTCCATTTGATTACATCCCATTCGTTTCCATTCCATTTGGATCAATTATATTGCAATCCATTACATTCGAGTCCGTTCTATTCCAGTCCATTCCATTCCAATCCATTCCATTCGATTCCATTCCATACTATTGCATTCCATTCGATTCCATTCTATTCGTATAAAATCCATTTGAGACCATTACTTTCGAGTCCATTATATTTGGGTCCATTCCATTCCATTTCATTCCATTCGATGCCATTCCATTTGATTCTCTTCCATTCGAGTCCATTCCATTTGAGTCTGTTCCATTCCATTCCATTCCATTCCATTCCTTTTCATACCATTCCATTCGATTCTATTCCATTCGACTCCATTCCATTCCATTCCGTTCCATCCGATTCCATTTCATTCCATTCCATTCCATCCCATTCCATTCCATTCCATCCCATTCCATTCCATTCCATACCATTCGCTTCCATTCCATTATGGTCCATTCCTCTCCAGTCCATTCCATCCGAGTCCATTCCATTCCAGTCCATTCCATTCGTGTCCATTCGATATATTTCCATTACACTCTACTCCATTCTATTCCCTATGATTCCATTCAATTCCATTCCATTCGATCCCATTCCATTCGGTTCCATACCATTCGACTCCATTCTATTTGAGTCCATTCCATTCCATTACATTCTGTTCTGTTTGATTCCAATCTGTTTGATTCCATTTAATTCCAGTCGATTCCATTGGGGTCCATTCCATTCCAGTCCATTCCAATCCATTGCATTCCATTCGATTCCCTTCCATTGTATTCCAGTCCACGCGATTCCACCCCATTCCATTCCTTTGCATTCCATTCTCTTCCATTCCATTGCATTCCATTCTATTCCATTTGATTACATTCCATTTGATTCCATTGCATTCGAATAAATTACATTGTAGTCCATTACATTCATGTCAGTTCTATTCCAGTCCATTCCATTCCAGTCCCTTCCATTCGATTCTATTCCATTCGATTCCATTCCATACTATTGCTTTCCATTTGATTCAATTCTATTCGCATAAATTCCATTCGAGACCATTGCATTCTAGTCCATATTATTTGTGTCCATTATATTTCTGTCCATTACATTTTGGTCTATTCCATTCCATTCCATTCCATTCGATGCCATTCCATTCAATTCTATTCCTTTCGACCCAATTCCATTCGAGTCCATTCCATTCCATTCCATTCCATTCCATTCCATTCCTTTCCTTCCCATTCCATGTCATTCCATTGGCTCCTGTTCTATTCGAGTCCATTCCATTCCATTCCTTTCCATCCACTTCCATTCATTCCATTCTATTCCTTTCCATTCTATTTGATTCCATTCCGTTCGTTTCCATTCCATTTGAGTCCATTCCACTCCAGTTCATTCCATTCGAGTCCATTCCATTCCAGTCCATTCCATTCGAATCCAGTCCATTCCATTCCATTCAATATCTTTCCATGACACTCCATTGCATTCTATTCCTTTTGATTCCATTCAATTCCATTTCATTCATTTCCTTTCCATTTGATTCCATACCATTCAAAACCATTCCATTCCATTTGGTTCCATTCCCTTCCATTCGATGCCATTACATTTAATTCTATTCCTTTCAATTCCATTCAATTCGAGGCCATTCCATTCGATGCCAATCCTTTCGATTCTATTCCATTCGACTCCATTCTATTCCATTCATTTCCATGTGACACCATTCCATGCTATTCCTTTTCTTTCCATTCCATTCGTTTCTGTTCCATTCCAGTCGTTGCCACTCCAGTCTATTCCATTTGAGTCGACTCCATTCCAGTCCATTCCATTCGAGTCCATTCCATTCCTTCCCTTCCATTTGATATCTGTCCACAACACACCATTCCATTCTATTCCTATCGATTCCATTCAATTCCATTCCATTCGGTTCCAATCCATTCGACTCCATTCCATTCAAGTCCTTGCTCTTCCATTCCATTCCATTCCATTCCTTTCGGTTCAATTCCAATCCATTCTAATCCATTTTTTTCCAGTCCATTACATTCGAGTCCATTCCATTTCAGTCCATTCCATTTGATTCTATTCCATTCGATTTCATTTCATTCGATTCCATTCCATTCAATTCCACTTCATTCCATTCCATTGCATTCCATTGTATTCCATTCCATTGCATTCCATTCTGTTCCATTTGATTACATTTCATTCAATTCCATTACATTCAAATCAATTACATTGCAATCCATTACTTTTGAGTCTGTTCTATTCCAGTCCATTCCATTATGTTCCGTTCCATTCGATTCAATTCCATTCAATTCCATTCCATAACACTGTATTCCATTCGATTCCATTCTGTGCAAATAATTTCCATTCGAGACCATTCCTTTCAAGTACATTCTATTTGAGTCCATTCTATTTGAGTCCATTACATTTGTGTCCATTCCATTCCAATCCATTCCATTCAATTCGATGCCATTCCTTTCTATTCTATTCCATTCTAGTCCATTCCATTCCATTCCAGTCGTTTCCATTCCATTCTAGTCCATTCCATTCCATTCCATTCCATTCCATTACATGCGATTCCATTCCATTCTATTCTATTCCATTTGACTGCATTCCATTCCATTCTGATCCATCTGATTCCATTCCATTCTATTCCTTTCCATTCCATTCCATTCCTTTCCATTCCATTTGACTGCATTCCATTCCATTCTGATCCATCTGGTTCCATTCCATTCTATTCCTTTCCATTCCATTCCTTTCATTCCATTCCATTCTTTTCCATGTCATTCGAGTCCATTCCATTCCAGTCCATTCCATTCGAGTTCATTCCATTAAATTCCATTCCATTCGATGCCATTCCATTCGATTCTATTCCATTTGCATCCATTCCATTCGTGTCCATTCCATTCCATTCCATTCGATGCCATTCCATTCGATTCTATTCCATTTGTCTCCGTTCCATTCCATTCTGTTCCATCCGATTCCATTCCACTGTATTCCTTTCCATTCCATTCCATTTCATTCCATGCAATTGATTTCCAATCAATTCGAGTCCATTCCACTCCAGTCCTTTCCCTTCGAGTCCATTCCATTTCACTTCGTTCCACTCGTGTCCATTCCATTCCAATCCATTCGAAATCTTTCCATCACACTCCCTTCCGTTCTATTCATTTCATTTCCATTCAATTCCTTTCTATTCAATTCCATTCCATTTGATTCCATTCCATTCAACTCCATTAGTTTCGAGTCCATCACATTCCTTTCCATTCCATTCCATTCCATTCCATTCCAATGCTTTCGATTCCATTTTGTTCACATCCATTCCATTCAAGTACATTCCATTCCAGTCCATTCCATTCAATTCCATTCTTTTCGATTCCATTCCACTCAATTCCACTCTGTTCCATTTCAATGCATTCCATTCCATTCCATTGCATTCCATTATATTCCATTCCATTTCATTCCATTATATTCCATTCCATTGCATTCCATTCAATTCCATTTGATTACATTCCATTCGATTCCATTCCGTTCGATTCTATTATATTGCAGTCCATTACATTTGAGTCTGTTCTATTCCAGTCCATTCCATTCCAGTCCTTTCCATTCACTTCCATTCCATTCGATTCCGTTCCATACTATTGCATTTCATTCTATTCCAGTCTATTCAAATAAATTCCATTCGAGACCATTCCCTTTGAGTCCATTCTATTTGAGTCCATTCCATTCGAGTCCATTACATTTGGGTCCATTCCATTCCATTCTATTCCATTCCATTCCATTGCATTCCATTCCATTCAATATCATTCTGTTGGATTATATTACATTTGACTCCATTCCATTCCTTTCAGTTCCAAACCAATTCCTTTCCATTCAATTCCATTCCATTCTATTCCATTGCATTCATTTCGTTTCCATTCATTTCGAGACCATTCCATTCCAGTCCATTCCATTCAATTACATTCCATTCCAGTCCATTAACTTCGAGTCCATTGCATTCCATTCCATTGCATATCTTTCCATCACACTCCAATCCATTTTATTCATTTCGATTCCATTCAAGTCCATTCAATTCGATTCATTCTGTTCGGTTTCATTCCGTTTGACTCCATTCCAATCGAGTCCATTCCATTCCATTCCATTCCGTTCTGTTCGATTCCAATCCTTTCAATTCCATTTTGTTCCAGTCCAATCCATTCGAGTCCATTCCATTCCAGTCCATTCCATTCAATTTCATTCCATTCGATTCAATTCCACTCGATTCCACTCCGTTCCATTCCATTGCATTGCATTCTGTTCCATTCCATTGCATACACTTACTTTCCATTTGATTTCATTCCATTCGATTCCATACCATTCAAATCCGTTGCGTTGCATTGCATTCCATTACATTCGAGTCCGTTCTATTCCGGTCTATTCCTTTCCGGTCCATTCCATTCAGTTACATTCCATACTATTGCATTCCATTCAATTCCATTCTATTCGAATAAATTCCATTCAAGACCATTCCTTTCTTGTCCATTCTATTTGAGTTTATTCCATTCGAGTCCATTACATTTGGGTCCATTCCATTCCATTCCATTCCGTTCCATTCAGTGCCATTCCATTCGATTCTACTCCATTCGAGTCCATTCCATTCCATTCCATTCCATTCCATTTGATGCCATTCCATTCGATTCTCTTCCATTCGACTCCATTCCATTCCATTCATCCAATTCCATTCCATTCTATTCCTTTCCATTCCATTCGTTTCCATTCCATTCGAGCCCATTCCACTTCAGTCCATTCGATTTGAGTCCATTCCATTAAAGTCCATTCCATTCGACTCCATTCCATTCAATTCCATTCCATTCCATTTGATATCTTTCCATTACACTCCATTCCGTTCTTTTCCTTTTGATTCCATTGAATTCCATTCCATTAGGTTCCATTCCATTCCAGTCCATTTCATTCAAGTCCGTTCCATTCCATTCAATATCACTCCATTTCACTCCATTCCATTCTATTCCATTTGATTCCGTTCAATTCCATTCTATTTAATTCCATTCCATTCGGTTCCATTCCATTCGACTCCATTCCATTAGAGTGCAATCTATTCCATTCTTTTCCGTTCCATTTGATTGCAATCCATTCGATTCCATTTTTTTCCAGTCAATTCCATTCGACTCAATTCCATTAGATTACATTCCATTCGATTCCATTTTTCTCCATTCCATTCCACTCGATTCCACTCCGTTCCATTACACTGCATTTCTTTCTATTCCATTCCATTGCATTCCATCAATTCCATTTGAAAAATTTCCATCGATTCCATTCCATTCGAATCAATTACAATGCAATCCATTACATTCTACTCCATTCTATTCCAATCTATTCCATTCCGTTCCATTCCATTCGAATCCATTCCATTTGATTCCATTCCATACTATTGATTTCCATTCAATTCCATTCTTTTCGAATAAATTCCATTCGAGATCATTCCTTTTGAATCCATTCTATTTGAGTTGATTCCATTCGAATCCATTACATTTGGGTCCATTCCATTCCATTCCATTCCATTCCATTGCATTCCATTCCATTCAATGCCTTTCCACTCCATTCAATTCCATTCCAGTCCATTCCATTCGAGTCCATTGCATTCCATTCCAGTCCATATGATGACATTCCAATTGATTCCATTCCATTCGACTCCTTTCCATTCCATTCTATTCCATTCCATTCCATTCCTTTCCTTTCCATTCCATTCCTTTCCATTCCATTCGAGTCCATTCCACTGCAGTCCATTCCATTCTTGTCCATTCCATTCCGTTCCATTTGATATCTCTCCATTATACTCCATTCCTTTCAATTCCATTCTACTCCATTCCATTCCATTTGACTCCATTCCCATCGAGTCCATTCCGTTGAATTCCAATCTTTTCTATTCCATTTTGTTCCTGTCTATTCCATTCGAGTCCATTCCATTCGAGTCCATTCCATTCGATTCCTTGCCATTCGATTCCATTCCACTCGATTCCACTCCCTTCCATTCCATTGCATTCCATTCTATTCCATTCCATTGCATTCCATTCTATTCCATTCCATTGCATTATATTCCATTCCTTTCAATTACATTCTATCTGATTCCATTCCATTCGAATTAGTTTTATTGCAATCCATTACATTCGAGTCCGTACTATTCCAGTCCATTGCATTCCATTCCATTCCTTTCGATTCCATTCCATCAGATACCATTCCATAAAATTGCATTCCATTCGATCCCTTTCTATTCGATTATATTCCTTTCGAAACCATTTCTTTCGAGTTCATTCTATTTGAGTCCATTCCATTCGAGTCCGTTACATTTGGGTCCATTACATTCCATTCCTTTTGATGACATTCCATTTGATTCGATTCCATTCGAGTCCATTCCATTCGAGTCCATTCCTTTCCATTCCATTCCATTCCATTCCTTTCCATTTGATGCCATTCCTTTCGTTTCTATTCCATTTGACTCCATTCCATTCTATTCCATTGCATCCTATTCCATTCCATTCTATTCCTTACTATTCCATTCCATTCCATACCATTCCGTTTGTTTCCATTACATTCTAGTGCATTCCACTCTAGTACATTCCATTCGATACCATTCCATTCCAGACAATTCCATGCGAGTCCATTCCATTCCATTCCATAAGATATCTTTCATTACACTGCATTCCATTCTATTCCCTTCAATTCCATTGAATTCCATTCTATTCGATTTGATTCCGTTCTATTCCACTCCATTCGACTCCATTCCATTCGTGTCCATTCGTGTCCATTCCATTCCATTCCATTCCATTGCGTTCAATTTGATTCGAAGCCGTTCCATTCCAATTTATTCCAGTCCATTCCATTCGAGTCCATTCCATTCCAGTCCGTTCCATTCGATTCCATTGCATTCAATTAAATTGCATTCGATTCCATTCTGCTCGATTCCATTACTTTCCATTCCATTCCATTCTATTCCATTCCATTGCATTCCTTTCCATTCCATTTGATTATATTCCATTCGAATCAATTACTTTGAAATCCATTACGTTCGAGTCCATTCCATTCCAGTCCATTCCATTCTGTTCCATTCGGTTCGATTGCATTCCATTCGATTCCATTCCTTACTATTGCATTGCATTCGATTCCATTCTATTCGAATAAATTCCATTTGAGACCATTCTTTCGAGTCCATTCTATTTGAGTCCATTCCATTGCAGTCCATTACATTTCGGTCTATTCCATTCCATTAATTCGATTCCATTCCATTCGATGACATTCCATTCTATTCTATTCTACTCGAGTCCACTCCATTCGTGTCCTTTCCATTCCATTCCATTCCATTCCTCTAAATTCCATTCAATGTCATTCCATTAGATTCTATTCCCTTCGAGTCCATTTCATTCCATTCTGTTCCATCCGATTCCATTCCATTCTATTCCTTTCCATTCCATTCCATTTGTTTCCATTCCATTCGGGTCCATTCCACTCCAGTCCGTTCCATTCGATTCCATTCCATTCCAGTCCGTTCCGTTCGATTCCACTAAATTCCATTCCATTCCATTCGATACCTTTCCATTACACTCCATTCCATGCTGTTCCTTTCAATTGCATTCAATTCCATTCCATTCAGTTCCATTCCATTCGACTCCATTTCACTCGAGTTCATTCCATTCCATTCCATTCCGTTCCGTTCCATTCCAATGCATTCGATTACATTTTGTTCCAGTCCTATCCATTCGAGTCCATTCCATTCCACTCCTTTCCAATCGATTCCATTCCATTCGATTCCATTCCACTCGATTCCACTACGTTCCATTACATTGCATTCCACTTTATTGCTTTCCATTGCATTCCATTCCATTTCATTTGTTTACATTCCTTTTGATTCCATTCCATTCCAATCAATTCCATTGCCATCCATTACATTCTTGTCCATTCTATTCCAGTCCATTCCATTCCGGTCCATTTCATTCGATTCCATTCCATTCGGCTCTATTCCATACTACTGCATTCCATTCGATTCCATTCTATTCGAATACATTCCATTTGAGACAATTCCTTTCGAGACCATTCTATTTGATTGCATTCCTTTCGAGTCCATTACATTTGGTTCCATGCCATTCCATTCCATTCCAATCCATTCCATTCAATTCCATTCCTTTCGATGTCATTCCATTGTATTCTATTCCATTCGAGTCCATACCATTCGAGTCCATTCCATTCCATTCCATTCAATCCCATTCTATTCAATTCTATTCCTTTCGACTCCTTTCCATTCCATTCTGACCCATGTGATTCCATTCCATTCTATTCCTTTCCATTCCATTCCATTCCACTCCATTCCACTCCATTCGTGTCCATTCCACTCCAGTCCATTCTATTCGAGTAAATTTCAATGAAGTACATTCCATTCGAGTCCATTCCATTCCATTAAATTCCATTTGATATCTTTCCATTACACTCCCTTCATTTCCATTCCGTTCGATGACATTCCATTCTATTCTATTCCATTCAAGTCCATTCCATTTGAATCCATTCCATTCCATCCCCTTCCATCTGATTCCATTCCCTTCTATTCCTTTCCCTTCCATTCCATTCCATTCCATTCCAGTACATTCGTTTCCATTACATTTGAGACCATTCCTCTCCAGTCCATTTCATCTGAGTCCATTCCATTCGGGTCCATTGCATTCCATTCCATTCGATATCTTTCCTTTACACTCCATTCCATTTTATTCCTTTTGATTCCATTCTATTCCATTCCATTCCATTCCATTCCATTCCATTCCGTTCAACTCTATTCCATTCGAGTCCATTCCATTTCATTCCCTTCCATTCCACTCGATTCCAATCCATTCGATTCCATTTTTTTCCAGTACATTCCATTGCAGTCCATTCCATTCGAGGACATTCCATTCCATTCCATTTGGTCCTGCTCGATTCCAATCCATTCGATTCCATTTTCTACCAGTCCATTCCATTCCAGTCCATTACATTCGATTCCATTCCATTTGATTCCTTTCCATTCTATTCCATTCCACTCGATTTCACTCTGTTCCATTCCATTGCATTCCATTCTGTTCCATTCCATTGCTTTCCCTTCTATTCCACTTGATCACATTCCATTCGATTCCTTTCCATTTGAATCAATTACATTGCAATCCATTACATTCGAGTCCATTCTATTCCAGTACATTGAATTCCAGTCTATTGCATTCGATTCCATTACATTCGATTCCATTCCACACTATTGCAATCCTTTCGATTCCATTCTTTTTGAATAAATTCCATTCGAGACCATTACCCTCGAGTCCATTCTATTTGAGTCCATTCCTTTCGGGTCCATTACTTTTGGGTCCATTCCGCTCCATTCCATTCTATTCCATTCCATTCCATGCCATTCCATTCCATTTTTTTCCATTTGAGTCCATTCCATTCGAGTTCTTTCCATTCCATTCCATTCCATTCTGTTCCATTCAATGCCATTCCATTCGATTCTATTCCTTTTGACTCCATTCCATTCCATTCCATTCCATCCAACTCCATTCCATTCTATGCTATTTCATTCCATTCCAATGCATTCAATTCCATTCCATTACATTCGTTTCCATTCCATTAGAGTCCTTCCACTCCATTCCATTCCATTCCATTCCATTCCATTCCATTCCATTCCATTACATTACATTACATTCCGTTCTGTTTGATTCCAATCCATTTGATTCCATTTTATTCAAGTCCATTACATTTGAGTCCATTCCATTCCAGTCCATTCCATTCGAATCCATTCCATTTGATTCCATTGCATTAGATTCCATTCCACTCGATTCTACTCCGTCACATTCCATTGAATTCCGTTCTATTCCATTCCATTGCATTCCTTTCCAATCCATTTGATTACATTACATTTGATTGCATTCCATTCGAATCAATTACATTGCAATCCATTACATTCGAGTCCTTTCTATTCCAGTCCATTCCATTCCGTTCCATTCCATTCAACTGCACTCCATTCCATTCGATTCCCTTCTATTGCATTCCATTCGATTCCATTCGATTCGAATGAATTCCTTTCGAGACATTCCTTTTGAGTTCATTATATTTGAGTCCATTCCATTCAACTCCATTACATTTGTTTACATTCCATTACATTCCAGTTCATTCCATTCCATTCCATTTGATGCCATTCCATTCGATTCTATTCCATTCAACTCCATTCCATTGCATTCCATTCAATCCGATTGCATTCCATTCTATTCCTTTCCATTCCATTCCATTCCATTCCATTCCTTTACATTCCATTCCTTTACATTCCATTCGAGTCCATTCGACTCCAGTCCATTCCATTCGAGTACATTCTATTACAGTACATTCCATTCATGTCCATTCCATTCCATTCCATTCGATTTCTTTCCATTCCCTTCCATTCCATTATATTCCTTTCAATTTCATTCAATTCCATTATATTCCATTCCATTCCATTCCATTCCATTCCATTCGACTCCATTACATTGGAGTCCATTCCATTTCATTCCATTCCATTCCATTCCGTTCCGTTCGATTCCAATCTGTTCGATTCCATTTTTTTTGTGCAAACCATTCGAGTCCATTACATTCCAGTCCATTCCAATCGATTCCATTCCATTCGATTCCATTCCATTCGATTCCATTACATTCGATTTCACTCCGTTCCATTCCATTGCATTCCATTCTATTCCATTCCATTGCCTTCCTTTCCGTTACATTTGATTCCATTCCATTCCATTCCATTCCATGCTATTCCTTTCCATTCCATTCTGTTCCACTCCATTCCATGCCATTCCATTCGTTTCCATTCCATTTGAGTCCATTCCACTCCAGTTCATTCCATTCCACAACATTCCATTCCAGTCCATTTAATTCGATTCCATTTCATTTGATTCCATTCCACTCGATTGCACTTCGTTCCATTCCATTGCATTCCATTCTATTCGATCGCATTGCATTCCATTCCATTCCATTTGATTACATTCCATTCGATTCCATTTCATTTGAATCAATTACATTTCAATCCATTACATTTGAGTCCGATCTATACCAGTCCATTCCATTCCGGTGCATTCCATTTGATTCCATTCCCGTCGTTTCCATTCTATATTATTGCATTCCATTCGATTCCATTCTTTTTGTATAAATTCCATTCGAGGCCATTTATTTTCAGTCCATTCTATTTGAGTCCTTTCCTTTAGAGTCCATTACACTTGGGTCCATTCAATTCCATTCCATTCTATGCCACTCCATTCAATTCTATTCCCTTCGAGTCCATTCAATTCCACTTGTTGCCATTGCATTCGATTGTAATCCATTCGACTCCATCCATTCCATTCCGTTCCAGCCGATTCCATTCCATTCTATTCTTTTCAATTCCACTCCATTTGATTCCATTCCATTCCATTCCATTCCATTCCATTCCATTCCATTTGATTCCATTCATTTCCATTCCATTCGAGGCCATTCCATTCCAGTCCATTACTCTCGAGTCCATTCCATTCCATTCCATTCCATTCCAATCGATATGTTTCCATTACACTCCATCCCATTCCATTCCATTCCATTCCACTCCATTCCATTCGTTTCCATTCCATTCGAGGCCACTCCATTCCAGTCCATTCCTTTCGTGTCCATTCCATTCCATTCCATTTGATGTGTTTCCATTACACTCCATTCCATTCTATTAATTTCGTTTCCATTCAATTCCATTGCATCCGACTCCATTCCATTCTATTCCTTTTCATTCCATTCCACCACATTCTACTCCATTCCACTCCATTTTTTCCATTCCATTTGAGTCTATTCCACTCCAGTCCATTCCATTCGAGTCCATTCAATTCCAGTACATTCCATTCAAGTCCATTCCATTCTATTTCTTTTCATTACACAGCATTCCATTCTATTCTTTCGAATCCATTCAATTCCATTCTATTCCATTCCATTCCATTCCATTCCATTCTGTTCCGTTAGATTCCAATCTGTTTGACTCCATTATTTTCCAGTATAATCCATTCGAATCCATTACATTCGCGTACATTCCAATTGATTACATTCCATTTGATTCCATTCTATTCGATTCCATTACACTCGATTCTGCTCCTTTCCATTCCATTGCATTCCATTCTATTCCATTCCATTGCATTCCCTTCCATTCCGTTTGATTACATTCCTTTCAATTCTATTCCATTCTATTTGATTCCATAGTATTGCATTGCATTCGAATCCATTCTATTCGAATAAATTTCATTCAAGACCAATCCTTTTCGAGTGCATTCTATTTGAGTCCATTCCATTTGAGTACATAACATTTCAGTCCACTC
Source organism: Homo sapiens (assembly GCF_000001405.40). Lineage (NCBI taxonomy): Eukaryota > Metazoa > Chordata > Mammalia > Primates > Hominidae > Homo > Homo sapiens. The sequence continues at coordinate 61,048 of NT_187511.1, forward strand.
CATTCCATTCCACTCCATTCCTTTCCATTCCATTCCATTCCATTCCATTCCGTTCCTTTCAATGCCATTCCATTCTATTCTATTCCATTCCCATCCATTCCATTTGAGCGCACCCCCTTCCATTACATTCATTTACATTCCATTTGATGCCATTCCATTCGACTCTCTTCCATTGAAATCCATTCCATTCCATTCCGTTAAATCCAATTTCAATCCATTCTATTCCTTTCCATTCCATTCCATTCGTTTCCCTTCCATTCCCGTCTATTCCACTCCAGTGCATATCATTGCAGTCCTTTCCATTCCAGTCCTTTCCGTTCAAGTCCATTCCATTCAAATCCATTCCATTTGAATCCATTCCTTTCCATTCCCTTCCATTCGATATCTTTCCATTCCATTCCATTCTATTCTATGCCTTTCAATTCTATTCAATTCGATTCCATTCGATTCCATTCCTTTCAACTCCGTTCCCTTCGAGTCCCTTCCATTCCATTCCATTCGATATCTCTCCATTACACTCCATAGCATCCTTTTCTTTCAATTCCATTCAACTCCATTCCATTTGTTTCCATTCCTTTCAGTTCCATTCCATTCGACTCCATGCCATTCGATTCCATTCCATTCCATTCCCTTCTGATCCATTTGAATCCAATCCGTTCGATTCCATTTTATTCTAGTCCATTCTATTCCAGTTTGTTCCATTTCAGTCCATTCCATTTGATTCTGTTCCACTCAATTCCATTCCATTCCACTCGATTCCACTCCCTTCCATTTTATTGCATTCCATTCTTCACCCTTCCATTTCATACCATTCCATTCCATTTGATTATATTACATTTGAATCAGTTCCATTCAAATCAGTTACATTGCAATCCCTTACAGTCAAGTCTGTTCTATTCCAGTCCATTCCATTCCGGTCCATTCCATTTGAATCCATTCCTTTCGATTCCATTCTATTCGAATAAATTCCATTTGAGACCATTCCTTCCGAGTCCATTCTATTTGAGTCCACTCCATTCTAGTCCATTATATTTGGGTCCAATCCATTCCATTCCCTTCCATTCCATTCCATTCCATTCCATTCCATTCCATTCTGTTCCATTCCATTCGATACCATTCCATTCTGTTCTATTCCATTCGAGTCCACTCCATTTCATTGAATTCCATTCTTTTGATGCCATTCCATTCAATTCTATTCCATTCGTCTCAATTCCATTCCATTCCATTTCATCCAATTCTGTTCCATTCTATTCCTTTCAATTCCATTCCCTTCCATTCCATTCTTTTCCATTCCCTTTGAGTCCATTCCAGTCCAGTCCATTACATTCGAGTACATTCCATTCAAGTCCATTCCATTCGAGTCCATTCCATTCCATTCCATTCCATTCCATTCCATTCCATTCCATTCCATTCGGTATCTTTCCATTACTCTCCATTCCATTCTATTCTATTTGATTCAATTCAATTCCATTCCATTTGATTCCTTTCCATTTGGTTCCATTCCATTCTACTCCATTCCATTGTATTCCCTTCCTTTCCATTCCATTCCATTCCATTCAATTCCAGCCCTTTCCATTCCATTTTGTTCCAGTCATTTCCATTCGAGTCCATTCCATTAAATTCCATTCCATTTGATGCCATTCCATTTGATTCTATTCCCTTCCTCTCCATTCCATTCCATTCCATTACATCCTATTGAATTCCATTCCTTTCAATTCCATTCCCTTGTATTCCTTTCATTTCCATTCCATTCGTGTCCATTCCACTACAATCCATTAAATTCGTGCCCGGTATATTCCAGTCCATTCCATTCGAGTCCGTTCCATTCCATTCCATTCGATATATTTCCAATACATTCCACTCCATTCTATTCTTTTCAATTCCATTCAATTCCACTCCATTCAATTCCATTCCATTCAGTTCCATTCCATTCAATTCCATTTCATTGGAGTCAATTCCATTCCATTCGATTCCAGTCCTTTTGTTTCCATTTTGTTCCTGTCCATTCCATTTAATTCCATTCTATTCCATTCCATTCCATTCCATTCCACTCAATTCCACTCTGTTCCATTCCATTGCATTCCATTGTATTCCATTCCATTGCATTCCATTCTGTTCCATTTAATTACTTTCCATTTGAGTCCATTCCATTCGAATCAATTACGTTTCAATTCATTACATTCATATATTTCCTATTCCATTCCATTCCATTCCATTCCGTACTACTGCATTCCATTCGATTCCATTCTTTTCGAATAAATTCCATTAAAGACCATTCCTTTTGAGTCCATTCCATTTGAATCAATTACGTTTCAATTCATTACATTCGTATATTTCCTATTCCATTCCATTCCATTCCAGTCCATTCCATTCGATTCCATTCCATTCAATTCCATTCCAATCCATACCATTCAATGACATTCCATTCCATTCAATTCCATTTGAGTCCATTCAATTCGAGTCCATTTCATTCCATTTCATTTGATTACATTACTGTTGACTCCATTCCATTCCATTCCTTTCCATCCAATTCCATTCTATTCTATTCCATTCCAATCCATTCCATTGCATTCCATTCCAGTCGTTTCCCTTCCATTCCAGTCCATTCCACTGCAGTCCTTTCCATTCGAGTCAATTCCATTCAAGTCCATAACATTCGAGTCCATTCCATTCCATTCGGTATCTTTACATTACACTCCATTCCATTCTATTCCTTTCAAAGCCGTTCAATTTCGTTGTGTTCGATTCCATTCCAATCAATCCCATTCCATTCGACTACGTTCCAATCGAGTCCATTCCATTCCATTCCATTCCATTTCGTTCCGTTCCATTCTAATCTTTTAGATTCCACTTTGTTGCAGTCCATTCCATTCGAGTCCATTCCATTAGAGTCCATTCCATTCAATTCCATTCCATTCAATTCCATTCCATTCGATTCCATTCCATTTAATTTGATGTCATTAAACTTGATTCTTTTCCATTAGACTCCATTTCATTTAATTCCATTCCATCAGATTCCATTCCAATGTATTCCTTTCAATTCCATTCCTTTCCATTCCATTCCATTCCATTTCATTCTATTCGTTTGCACTGCCTTCGATTCCATTCCACTCCTGTCCTTTCCATTCGAATACATTCCATTAGGGTCCATTCCATTAGACTCCATTCCTTTCCATTCAATTCCATCCATTTACATTCTGTTCTATTCCTTTCCCTTCCGTTCCTTTCCATTCGTTTCCATTCCATTCGAGTCCTTTCCATTCTAGTACATTCCATTCGAGTCCATTCCATTCCAGTCCATTGCATTCGAGTCCATTCCATTCCATTCTATATATTTCCATAAAACTCTGTACCATTCCATTCCATTCGATTCCATTCAATTCCATTCCATTTGATTCTATTACATTGGATTCCATTCCATTCGATTCCATTGCATTCCATTCAATGACTTTCCAGTCGATTCTATTCCATTCAACTCCATTCCATTCCCTTGCATTCCATCCAATTCCATTCCATTCTATTCCTTTCCATTCCATTCGTTTCCATTCCATTGGGGTACATTCCATTCCATGACATTTCATTCGCGTCCATTCCATTACAGTCCATTCCTTTCGACTCCATTCCATTCCATTCTATATCTTTCCATATCACTCCATAACATTCCATTCCATTCGATTCCGTTCACTTCCATTCCATTCGATTCTATTACATTCGATTCCATTCCATTCGATTCCATTCCATTCCATTCAATAACTTTCCATTAGATTCTATTCCATTCGACTCCATTCCTTTCCCTTCCATTTCATCCAATTCCATTCCATTCTATTCCTTTCCATTCCATTCCATTCCATTCCATTCTTTTCCATTCCATTGGGGTACATTGCATTCCACTACATTTCATTCGTGTCCACTCCATTCCTGTCCATTCCATTCGAGTCCATTCCATTCCAATCCTTTCCATTCGATATCTTTCCATTAGACTCCATTCCATTCTATTCCTTTGCATTCAATTCAAATCCATTCCATTCGATTCCATTCCATTCGAGTCCATTCCATTCCATTCAGTGCCTGTCTATTCCAATCCGGATGATTCCGTTTTGTTCCAGTCCATTCCATTCGAGTCCATCCCATTACACTCCTTTCCATTCAAATCCATTTCATTCGATTCATTTCCATTTGATTTCTTTCTCTCAACTCCACTCCGTTCCTGTCCATTGCATCCCATTCTATTCCATTCCATTCCATTCCATTCCATTCCATACAATTCCATTCCATTCCGTTACATTCCATTCCATTCCATGCCATTCCATTCGATTTTGTTTCATTCGGGTCCATTCCATTCGAGTCCATTCCATTCCATTCCATTCGATTCTATTCCATTCGACTCCATTCCATTCCTTTCCATTCCTTTCCATCCGATTCCATTCCATTCTATTCCATTCCATTCCATTCCACTTGTTTCCATTTCATTCGAGTCATTTCCATTCCATTCCAGTCCATTCCATTCGATGCAATTCCATTCGATTCTGTTCCATTCGACTCCATTCCATTTCATTCCATTCCATCCTATTCCATTCCAGTCTATTCCTTTCCATTCCATTCCATTCCATTCCATTCGTTTGCATTCCATTCGTGTTCATTCCACTGCATTCCAGTCCATTTCATTTATATCAATTCTACTCCATTCCATTACATTCAATACCTTTCCATTACACTCCATTGTATTATATTACTTTCGATTCCATTCAATTCCATTGCATTCAATTCCAATAATTTCGATTCCATTCCATTTGACTCTATTCCATTCCATTCGATTACATTCGGTTCTTTTCAATTCCAATCCGTTTGTTTCCATTTTGTTCCAGTCCATTCCATTCGAGTCCATACCATTCCAGTCCATTCCATTAGATACCATTCCATTGGATTCCATTCCTTTCGATTCCATTCCACTCTATTCCACTGCGTTCCTTTCCATTTCATTCCATTCTATTGTATTCCATTGCATTCCATTCCATTCCATTTGATTACATCCCATTCAATTCCATTCCATTCCAATCAATTACATTGCAATCCATTACATTCGAGTCCGTTCTATTCCAGGCCTTTCCATTCCGGTCCATTCCATTCTATTCCATTCCACTCGATTCCATTCCATACTATTGCATTCCATTCGATTCCATTCTATTTGAATAAAATCCATTCGAGACCATTCCTTTCGAGTCCATTCTATTTGAGTTGATTCCTTTCGAGTCTATTATATTTGGGTCGATTCCATTCCATTCTATTCCTTTCGATGCCATTACATTTGATTCTCTACCGTTCTACTCCATTCCATTCGAGTCCATTCCACTTCATTCCATTCCATTCCTTTTGATGCCATTCCTTTCGATTCTATTCCATTCAACTCCATTCCTTTCCATTCTGTTCCATCCGATTTCATTCCATTTTATTCCATTTCATTTCATTCCATTCCATTCGTTTCCATTCCTTTAGTTTCCATTGCTCTCCAGTCCATTACATTCGAGTCCATTACATTCCAGTCCATTCCATTTGAGTCCTTTCCATTCCATTTCATTTGAAATATTTCCATTACACTCCACTCCATTCTATTCCCTTCGATTCCATTCAATTCCTTTCCATTCGATCCCATTCCATTCTGTTCCATTCCATTCGACTCCATTCCATTCGAGTCCATTCCATTCCATTACATAACATTCCGTTCTGCTCGATTCCAATCCGTTCGATTCCATTTAGTTCCAGTAGATTCCATTCGAGTCCATTCCATTCCAGTCCATTCCAATCTATTGCATTCTATTCGATTCCTTTCAATTCGATTCCATTACATTCCAGTCTATTCCTTTCCAGTCCATTCCAATCGATTGCCTTCCATTCAATTCCCTTCCATTCTATTCCATTCCACGCGATTCCACTCTGTTCCATTGAATTGCTTTCCATTCTCTTCCATTGTTTTGCATTCCATTCCATTCCATTTGCTTACATTCCATTCGATTCCATTGCATTCGAATCAATTACATTGCAGTCCATTATATTTGAGTCCGTTCTATTCCAGTCCATTCCATTCGACTCCATTCCATTCAATTCTATTCCTTTCCATACTATTGCCTTCCATTCGATTCAACTCTATTCAAATAAATTCCATTCGAGACCATTACTTTCGAGTCCATATTATTTGAGTCTATTCCATTTGTGTCCATTACATTTTGGTCTATTCTATTCCATTCGATCCCATTCCATTTGATTCTATTCCATTCGAGCCAATTCCATTCGAGTCCATTTAATTCCATTCTGTTCCATTCCATTCCGTTCGATGTCATTCCATTTTATCCTATTCTATTCGACTCCTTTCCATTCCATTCTTTTCCATCCGATTCCATTGCATTCTATTCCTTTCCATTCATTCCCTTCCATTCAATTTGTTTCCATTTGTTTCCATTCCATTCGAGTCCATTCCACTCCTGTCCATTCCATTCGATTCCATTACCTTCCAGTCCATTCCATTCGACTCCATTCCATTCCATTCGATATCTCTCCATGACACTCCATTGCTTTCTATTCCTTTCGATTCCATTTCATTCATTTCCTTTCCATTCGATTCCATACCATTCGAGTCCATTCCATTCCATTCGGTTCCATTCCATTCTATTCCATTCTATGTCATTCCATTTAATTCTATTCTATTCGATTCCATTTCATTCGAGGCCATTCCATTCCATTGCATTCCATGCCCTTTCCTTCATTTCTATTCCATTCGACTCCATTCCATTCCATTCAGTTCCATCCGATACCATTCCATTCTATTCCTTTCAATTCCATTCCAATCGTTTCCATTCCATTCGAGTCCTTGCCACTCCAGGCCATTCCATTCAAATCCACTCCATTCCAGTCCATTCCATTCGAGTCCTTTCCATTCCTTCCATTCCATTCAATATCTTTCCACGACACACCATTCCATTCTATTCCTTTCGATTCCTTTCAATTCCATTCCATTCGGTTCCATTCCATTCGACTCCATTCCATTCAAGTCCATTCTCTTCCATTCCATTCAATTCCGTTCCTTTCAATTCCAATCCGTTCGATTCCATTTTGTTTCAGTCCATTACACTCGAGTCCATTCCATTCCATTCCATTCTTTTTGAGTCCATTCTATTCGATTTCATTTCATTTGATTCCATTCCATTAAATTCCACTTCGTTCCATTCCATTGCATTCCATTCTATTGCGTTCCATTGCATTCCTTTCCATTCCATTGGATTTCATTCCATTCGATTCCATTCCGTTCATATCAATTACATTGCAATACTTTACTTTCGAGTCCATTCTATTCCAGTCCATTCCATTCCAGTCCATTCCATTCAATTCCATTCCATTTGATTCCCTTCCATACTATTGCATTCCATTCGATTCCATTCTGTTCAAATAAATTCCATTCTAGACCATTCCTTTTGATTCCATTCTATTTGAGTCCATTCCATTCGAGTCAATTACACTTGTGTCCATTCCATTCCAATCCATTCCATTCCATTCAATGCCATTCCTTTCTATTCTATTCCATTCTAGTCCATTCCATTCCAGTCCATTCCTTTCCATTCGTTTCCATTAAATTAGAGTCCATTCCATTCCATTCCATTCCATTCCACGTGATGCCATTCCATTCGATTCTATTCCATTTGACTCCATTCCATTCCATTCCGTTCCATCCGATTCTGTTCCATTCTATTACTTTCCATTCCATTAAATTCCATTCCATTCCATTCGATTCTTTTGCATGCCATTCTAGTCCATTCCATTCCAGGCCTCTCGTTTCGAGTCCATTCCATTACATTCCATTGCATTCGATGACATTCCACTTGATTCTATTCCATTCGAGTCCATTCCATTCGAGTCCATTCCATTCCATTCCATTCGATGCCATTCCGTTCGATTCTATTCCATTGTCTCCATTCCATTCTGTTCCATTCTATCCGATTCCCTTCCACTCTATTCCTTTCCGTTCCATTCCATTCCATTCGTTTCCAATCCATTCTAGTTCATTCCACTCCCACCCACTTCCTTCGAGTTCATTCCATTCCACTTCTTCCATTTGTGTCCATTCCATTCCAATCCATTTGAAATATTTCCATCACACTCCATTCCGTTCTATTCCTTTCATTTCCATTCAATTCCATTCTATTCGATTCCATTCCATTCGATTCCATTCCATTCGACTCCATTTGTTTTGATTCCATTCCTTTCCTTTCCATTCCATTCCTTTCCTTTCCATTCCATTCCATTCCCTTCCATTCCGTTCTGTTCGATTCCAATCATTTCAATTCCATTTTGTTCAATTCCATTCCATTCAATTGCATTCCTCTCCAGTCCATTCCATTCGATTCCATTCCATTCGATTCCATTCCACTTGATTCCACTCTGTTCCATTCCATTGCATTCCATTCTATTCCTTTCCATTGAATTCCATTATATTCTATTCCATTGCTTTCCATTCAATTCCATTTGATTACATTCCATTCGATTCCATTCCATTCGATTCTATTGTATTGCAATCCATTACATTCAAGTCCATTCTATTCCATTCGATTCCATTGTGGTCCCTTCCATTCGATACCGTTCCATTCGATTCCATTCCATACTACTGTATTCCATTCAATTCCATTCTTTTCTAATAAATTCCATTCGAGACCATTCCTTTTGATTCCATTCTATTTGAGTCCATTCCATTGGAGTCCATTACATTTGGGTCCACTCCATTCTATTCCATTCCATTCCATTCGATGCCATTCCATTCTATTCTATTCTATTCGTGTCCATTCCATTCGAGTCCGTTCCATTCCATGCAATTCCATTACATATCATTCCATCGGATTATATTTCATTCAACTCCATTCCTTTCCATTCCGTTCCATCCAATTCCATTCCATTCCATTCCATTGCATTCCATTCCTTTCCATTCCATTCCATTCCTTTCCATTCCATTCCATTCCGTTCAAGACCATTCCACTCCAGTCCATTCCGTTCATGTGTATTACATTCCAGTCCATTCCATTAGAGTCCATAGCATTCCATTCCATTCCATATCTTTCCATCAAACTCCAATCCATTCTAATCATTTTGATTCCTTTCAATTGCATTCCATTCCATTCGGTTAAATTCCATTTGACTCCACTCCAATCGAGTCTATTCCACTCCATTCCATTCCGTTCCATTCCGTTCATTTCCAATCCATTCTATTCCATTTTGTTCCATTCCAATGCATTCGAGTCCATTCCATTTGATTCCATTCTTTCAAATCCATTCCATTCGATTTAATTCCACTCCGTTACATTCCATTGCATTGCATTCTATTCCATGCCATTGCAAACCATTCCATTCCATTTGATTTCATTGCGTTTGATTCCACTAAATTCAAATCAATTGCATTGCATTCCGTTACATTTGAGCCCGTTCTGTTCCAGTCTATTCCATTCCGGTCCATTTCATTTAATTACATTCAATACTGTTGCGTTCCATTCAATTCCATTCTATTCGAATAAATTCCATTCGAGACCATTCCTTTTGAGTCCATTCTATTTGAGTCTATTCCATTCGAGTCCATTACATTTGGTTACATTCCATTCCATTCCATTCCATTCGGTGCCATTCCATTTGATTCTATACCTTTCGACTCCATTCCATTCGATTCCATTCAATTCCATTCGATTCCATTCCATTCCATTTGATGCCATTCCATTCGATTTTATTCCATTCGATTCCATTCCTTTCCATACCATTCCATCCAATTCCATTCCATTCTATTCCTTTCCATTCCTTTCCTTTCCATTCGTTTCCATTGCATTCGAGTCCATTCCACTCCATTCCCTTCCATTCGAGTCCATTCCATTAAAGTGCATTCCATTCGGTTCTATTCCATTCGATTCCATTCCATTAGATTCCATTCCATACCATGGCATTCCATTCGACTCCATTCTTTTCGAATATATTCCAATCGAGACCATTTCTTTCGAGTCCATTATATTTGAGTCAATTCCATTCGAGTCCATTACATTTGGGTCCCTTCCATTTGATGACATTCCAATCGATGCTATTCCATTCGAGTCCATTCCATTCGAGTCCCTTCCATTCCATTCCATTCCATTCCATTGCGTTATATTCCATTTCGTTTGATGTCATTCCATACGAATCTATTCCATTCAACTCCATTCCATTGCCTTTCCTTTCCATCCAATTCCATTCCATTCCATTCCATACGTTTCCATTCCATTCGTGTCCATTCCACTCCAGTCCATTCCATTCGAGTCCATTCCATCCCAGTCCATTGAATTCGAGCCCATTCCATTCCATTCGATATCATTCCATTACAATCCATTCCATTCTATTCCTTTTCATTCCATTCCATTCCATACAACTCCGTTTGTTTCCATTCCATTCTAGTCCATTCCACACCTGTCCATTCCATTCGAGTCCTTTCCATTCCAGACAATTCCATGCTATTCCATTCCATTCCATTCCTTTAGATATCTTTCCATTACACTCCATTCAATTCTATTCCCTTCGATTCCATTCAATTCCATTCTATTCGTTTCCATTCTGTTCTATTCCACTCCATTCTACTCCATTCTAATCGAGTCCATTCAATTCCATTCGATTCCATTCCACTCCATTCTACTCTGTTTCGTTCAATTGCATTCCATTCTATTCCATTCCATTTCATTCCATTGTATTACATTTGATTACATTCCATTTGCTTCCTTTCCATTCAAGTCAATTACTTTGAAATCCACTACATTCGAGTCTATTCTATTAAAGTCCATTCCATTCTGTTCCATTCCATTCGATTGCATTCCATTCGGTTACATTCCATACTATTGCACTGCATTCGATTCCATTCTATTCGAATAAATTCCGTTCGACATCATTCCTTTCGTGTCCATTCTATTTGAGTCCATTCCATTTGAGTCCATTACATTTGGGTCCACTCCATTCCATTCCATTCCATTCCATTCGATGCCATTTCATTCTATTCTATTCCACTCGAGTCCATTCCATTCGAATCCACTCCATTCCATTAAATTCCTTTCGATGCCATTAAATTCGACTCTATTCCATTCGAGTCCATTTCATTCCATTCCATTCCATCCGATTCCATGCCATTGTATTCATTTTCATTCCATTCCATTCCATTCCATTCATTTCCATTCCATTCCATTCCATTCCATTCCATTCCATTCCATTCATTTCCATTTCATTCGAGTCCATTCCACTCCACTCCGTTCCATTCAATTCCATTCCATTCCAGTCCATTCCCTTCGACTCCATTAAATTCCTTTGCATTCCATTCGACAACTTTCCATTACACTTCATTCCTTACTATTCCTTTCTATTCCTTTCAATTAAATTCCATTTGGTTCCATTCCTTTTGACTCCATTCCACTAGAGTTCTTTCCATTCCATTCCTTCATTCCATTCCATTCCATTCCATTCCAATGCGTTCGTTTCCATTTTGTTCCAGTCCTATCCATTTGAGTCCATTCCATAACAGTCCATTCCATTCCAGTCCATTCCAATTGATTCCATTCCAATCGATTCCATTCCACTCGATTCCACTCCATTCCATTCCATTGCATTCCATTTTATTCCATTCCATTGCATTCCATTCCATTACGTTTGATTACATTCCATTCGATTCCATTCCATTCCAATCAATTACATTGCAATCCATTACATTCAAGTCCGTTCTATTCCAGTCCAATCCATTCCGATCCATTTCTTTCGATTCCATTCTATTAGATTCCATTCCATACTATTGCATTCCATTCGATTCCATTCTATTCGAATAAATTCCATTCGAGACCATTCCATTCAAGTGCATTCTATTTGAGTCCATTCCTTTCGAGTCCATTACATTTGAGTCCCTTCCATTCCATTCCATTCTATTCCATTATATTCGATGCTGTTCCATTGTATTCTATTCCATTCGAGTCCATTCCTTTCGAGTCCATTCCATTGCATTCAATGAAATTCCATTCGATTCTATTCCATTCGACTCCATTACATTCCATTCCGTTCCATCTGATTCCATTCCATTCTATTCCTTTTCATTCCATTCCATTCCATTCCATTTGTTTCCATTCCATTCAAGTGCATTTCACTCCAGTCCATTCCATTCGAGTAAATTCCAATACAGTCCATTTCATTCAAGTCCATTCCATTCCATTCCATTCGAATCCATTCCACTCCAGTCAATTCCATTCCATTAAATTCCAATCCAGTCCATTCCATTGGAGTCCATTGCATTCCATGAAATTCCTTTCGCTATCTTTCCATTACACTCCCCTCCATTCCATTCCATTCGAAGCCATTCCATTCTATTCTATTCAATTTGAGTCCATTCCATTTGAGTCCATTCCATTCCATCTGATTCCATTCCATTCTATTCTTTTCCATTCCAGTGTATTCCATTCATATCCATTCCATTCAAATCCACTCCAGTACATTCCATTCCATTCGAGTCCATTCCTTTCCAGTCCATTCCATTCGAGTCCATTCCTTTCCATTTCATTTCATTCCATATTGTTCCATTACATTCAATTCCATTCTATTCCTTTCTATTCCATTCAATTCCATTCCATTCGATTCCATTGCATTCGATTCCATTACACTCCATTCCGTTCCATTCAATTCAAGTCGGTTCATTTCCATTTTGTTCCAATACATTCCATTCGATTCCATTCCATTCGATTCCATTCCATTCGATTCCATTACACTCGATTCCACTACGTTCCTTTCCTTTTCATTGCCTTCTATTCCATTCCATTGCATTCCATTCCATCCCATACGATGATATTCCATTCGATTCCATTCCATTTGAATCAATTACATTGCAATCCATTACATTCGAGTCCGTTCTATTCCAGTCCTTTCCATTGCATTCCATTCCGTTCAGTTCCATTCCATTCGATTCGATTCCATACTATTGAATTCCTTTCAATTCCATTCTGTTCGAATAAATTACATTCAAGACCATTCATTTTGAATCCATTCTATTTGAGTCCATTCCATTCCATTCCATTCCTTCCGATGCCATTCCATTTGATTCTATTCTATTCGACACCATTTCATTCGATTCCATCCCATCCGATTCCATTCCATTCTCTTCATTTTCATTCCATTCCATTCGTTTCCATTCCATTCATTTCCATTCCACTCCAGTCCATTACATTCGATTTCATTCCTTTCCAGTCCATTCCTTTCGACTCCATTAATTTCCTTTGCATTCCATTCAATAACTTTCCATTACACTTCATTCCCTTCTATTCCTTTCAATTCCTTTCAATTACATTCCATTCGGTTCCATTCCTTTTGACTCCATGCCACCCGAGTTCATTCCATTCCATTCTGTTCCATTCCTTTCCAGTGTGTTTAATTCCATTTTGTTCCAGTCCTATCCATTCGGGTCCATTCCATATCGGTCCACTCCATTCCAGTACATTCCAATCGATTCCATTCCACTCGATTCCATTTCACTCGATTCTACTCCATTCCATTCCATTGCATTACATTTTATTCCATTCCATTGTATTCCATTCTGTTACTTTTGATTACATTCCTTTCGATTCCATTCCATTCCAGTCAATTATATTGCAATCCATTACATTTGAGTCTGTTCTGTTCCAGTCCATTCCATTACGATCCACTTCATTCGATTCCATTCTATTCGACTCCATTCCATACTATTGCATTCCATTCGATTCCATTCTATTCGAATAAATTCCATTTGAGACCATTCCATTCGAGTGTATTCTATTTGAGTCCATTCCTTTCGAGTCCATTACTTTTGGTTGCATTCCATTCTTATCCTTTCTATTCCATTATATTCGATGCCATTCCATTGTATTCTATTCCATTTGAGTCCATTCCATTTGAGTCCATTCCTTTCTAGTCCATTCCATTCAATTCCAGTACACTTGATTCCACTCCGTTCCTTTCCTTTGCATTGCATTCTATTCCATTCCATTGCATTCCCTTCCATCCAATACAATGATATTCCATTCGATTCCATTCCATTTGAATCAATTACATTGCAATCCATTACATTTGTGTCGGTTCTATTCCAGTCCTTTCCATTCCGTTCCATTCCGTTCAATTCCATTCCATTCGATTCCATTTCATACTATTGCATTCCTTTCGATTCCATTCTATTCGAATAAATTACATTTGAGACCATTCATTTTGAGTCCATTCTATTTGAGTCCATTCCATTCCATTCCATTCCTTTCGATGCCATTCCATTCGATTGTATTCCATTCGACAGCATTTCATTCCTTTCCGTTCCATCCGATTGCATTCCCTTCTATTCCTTTCCATTCCATTCCATTCCATTCCTTTGCATTCCATTCGTCTCCAGTCCATTCGAGTCCATTCCACTCCAGTCCATTCCAATCGAGTCCATTTCATTCCATTCCATTCCATTCCATTCGAGTCCCTTCCATTGCATTCCTTTCGATGTCTTTGCATTACACTCCATTCCATTCCATTCCATTCTCTTCCGTTCGTTCCCAGTCCGTATCATTCCATTTTCTTCCAGACCATTCCATTGGATTCCATTCCATTCGATTCCATTCCATGCCCTTTGATTCCATTCCACTTGATTCCACTCCGTTCCTTTCCATTGCATTCCACTGTATTCCATTCCAATGCATTCCATTCCTTTCCATTCCATTCCATTGCATTCCATTCCATTCCATTTGATAACATTCCATTGGATTCCAATCCATTCGTAACAACTACATTGTAATCCATTATATTCGTGTCCGTTCTATTCGAGTCCATTCCATTCCAGTCTACTCCATTCGATTCCATTGCATTCGATTCCATTCCATACTATTGCATTCCATTCAATTCCATTCTAATCGAATAAATTCCATTCGAGTCCCTTCCATTCGATTCCATTTTATTTGAGTCCATTCCATTCGTGTCCATTACATTTGGGTCCATTCCATTCCATTGCATTCCATTAAATTCCATTCCATTCCATTCGATGCCATTCCATTTGATTCTATTCCATTCTAGTCCATTCCTTTCGAGTCCATTCCAGTTCATTCCTTTCCATTCCATTCGATGCCATTCCATTGAATTCTCTTCCATTCGTTTCCATTCCATTCCATTCCATCCGATTCCATTCCATTGTATTCCTTTCCATTCCATTCCTTTTCATTCCATTCGTTTCCATGCCATTCGTGTCCATTCCACTCTAGTCCATGACATAAGCGTCAGTTCAATTCCAGTACATTCCGTTTGATCCATTCCTTTCCATTCCATTCGATTTCTTTCCTTTACACTCAATTCCATTCTTTTTTTGATTCCTTTCAATTCCATTCTATTTCATTCCATTTAATTCGATTCCATACCTTTCAACTCCATACCATTCGATACCATTCCACTCCATTCCATTCCGTTTCATTCCATTCCATTCTTTTCCATTCGATTCCAATCTGTTCGATTGCATTTTGTTCCAGTCCAATCCATTTGAGTCCGTTACATTCCAGTCCATTCCAATCGATTCCATTCCATTTGATTCCATTCCACTCGATTCTGCTCTTTCCATTCCATTGCATTCCATTCAATTCCATTCCATTGCATTCCATTCCAATCAGTTTGATTACCTTACATTCGATTCCATTCCATTTGAATCAATTACATTGCAGTCCATTTCATTCGAGACCATTCTATTCCAGTCCATTCCATTCGACTCTATTCCATTGAATTCCATTCCATAATATTGGATTCCATTTGATTCCATTGCATAATGTTGCATTCCATTCTATTACATTCTATTCGAATAAATTCCATTTGAGAGCATTCCTTTTGAGTTCATTCTCTTTGAGTCCATTCCATTTGAGTCCATTACATTTGGCTCCATTCTATCCCATTCCATTCCATTCGTTTCCATTACATTCGAGTCCATTCCACACCAGTCCATTCCATTTGAGTAAATTCCAATCCAGTCCATTCCATTCGAGTCCATTCCACTCCAGTCCATTCCATTTGAGTAAACTCCAATCCCGTCCATTCCATTTGAATCCATTCCATTCCATTAAATCCCGTTTGATATCTTTCCATTACACTCCCTTCCATTCCATTCCATTTGATGCCATTACATTGTATTCAATTCCATTAGTGTCCATTCCATTCGAGTCCATTCCATTCCATTCCATTCCATTCCATTCCATTCCATCATATTCCATTCCATTCTATTCCTTTCCTTTTCATTCCATTCCATTCGTTTCCATTCCATTCGAGACCCTTCCTCTCCAGTCCATTCCATTCGAGTCCATTCCATTCCAGTCCATTCCATTCAAGTACATTCCTTTTCATTCCATTCGATATCTTTCCTTTAAACTCCATTCCATTTTATACCTTTAGATTCCATTCAATTCCATTCTTTTTGATTCCATTCCATTCAATTCCATTCCATTTGACCCCATTGCATTCAAGTCCATTCCATTCCATTCCATTTCGTTCCACTCGATTCCAATTCGTTTGATTCCATTTTCTTCCTTTCCATTCCATTCCAGTTTATTCGAGGACATTCCATTCCATTCCGTTCTGTTCTGCTCGATTCCTATCTGTTCAATCCCATTTTATTCCAGTCCACTCCATTCCAGTCCATTACATTCGATTCCATTCCATTTGATTCCATTCCATTCGATTCCTTTCCACTCAATTTGACTCCGTTCCATTCCATTGTATTCCATTCTGTTCCAATCCATTCCATTCCAATCTATTCCATTTGATTACATTCCATACGATTCCATTCCATTTGAATCAGTTACATTGCAATCCATTACATTCGTGTCCATTCTATACCAGTCCATTCCATTCCGGTTGATTGCGTTCGATTTCATTCCATTCGATTCCATTCCATACTATTTCATTCCACTCGATTCCATTCTATTTGAATAAATTCCATTCAAAACCATTCCATTCGAGTCCATTCTATGTGAGTCCATTCCATTCGTGTCTAATACTTTTGGGTCCATTCCACTCCATTCCTTTCCATTCCATTCCATTCCATGCCCTTCCATTACATCATATTCCATTCCATTCCATGAACTTCCATTCGATTTTATTCCATTTGAGTCCATTCCATTCGAGTCCATTCCCTTCCTTTCCATTCCATTCCATTCGATGCCATTCCATTCCATTCAATTCCATTTGTCTCTATTCCATTCCATTCCATTTCTTCCGATTCCAGTCCATTCTATGAAATGTCATTCCATTCCAATGCATTCCATTACATTACATTACATTCGTTTCCCTTCCACTGGTGTCTATTCCACTCCAGTCCATTCTTTTCGAGTCCATTCCATTCCAGTGCATTCCATTCAAGTCCATTCCATTCCATTTCATTCAATATCTTTCCATTGCTCTCCATTCCGTTCTATTGCATTCGATTCCATTCAATTCCATTCTATTCTGTTCCATTCCATTTGACTCCATTCCAGTCGAATCCATTCCATTTCATTCCATTCTGTTCTGTTTGATTCCAATCCGTTCGATTCCATTGTGTTCCAGTCCATTCCATTCGAGTCTATTCCTTTCCAGTCCATTCCATTCGAATCCCTTCCATTTGATTCCATTGCATTTGTTTCCATTCCACTCGATTCCACTCTGTTCCATTCCATTGCATTCCACTCTATTAATTTCCGTTTCATTCCTTTCCAATCCAATTGACTACAGTATATTCAATTGCATTCCATTCAAATAAATTACATTGCAATCCATTATTTTCGAGTCCTTTCCATTCCAGTCCATTCCAGTCCAGTCCATTCTATTCGACTCCAATGCATTCGTTTTGATTCCATTCTATTGCATTCCATTCGATTCCATTCTATTTGAATGAATTCCATTTGAGACCATTCCTTTCGTGTTCATTCTATTTGTGTCCATTCCATTCGAGGCTATTACATTTGGGTCCATTCCATTCCATTCCATTCGATGCCATTCTATTCAATTCTATTCCTTTCTACTCCATTCCATTCCATTCCGTTCCATCCGATTCCATTCCATTCTATTCCATTCCATTTCATTCTATTCCTTTCCATTCCATTCATTCGTTTCCATTCCATTCGAGTCCATTCAACTCCAGTCCATTCCATTCGAGTTCTTTCCATTCCAGTATGATCCATTTGAGTCCATTCCATTCCATTCCATTTCTTTCCATTCCATTCCATTCCATTCCGTTATATTCTTTTCAATTTCATTCAATTCCATTATATTCCATTCCATTCCATTCAATCCCATTCCATGCGACTCCATTACATTGGAGTCCTTTCCATTCCATTCCATTCCATTCCATTACGTTCCGTTCATTTCGAATCTGTTCGATTCCATTTTTTTCTAGTCCAAATCATTCGAGTCCATTATATTCCAGTCCATTACAATCGATTCCATTCCATTCGATTCCATTCCATTCGATTCCATTTCACTTGATTTCACTCCGTTCCATTCCATTGCATTCCATTCTAT
>NT_187512.1:0-10219 GCF_000001405.40 Homo sapiens
GTTTTTGAACTGCTAAATAAAAAGAAAGGTTCATCTCTGTGAGACGAATGCACACATAATAAATTAGTTTATCATAATGCTTCTGTCTAGTTTTTATATGAAGATATTTCTCTCTTGAAGGGCCTCAAATGACTCAGAAATATCCCTTTGCAGATTGTACAAAAAGACTGTTTCCAAACTGCTCAATCAAAAGAAAGGTTCAAACCGGTGAGATGAATGCACACATAAAAGAGGAGTTTCTCAGAAATCTGCTGTCTTGTTTTTATGTGAAGATATTACCTTTCTCAACATAGGCCTCAAAGCAATCCAAACATCCATTTGCAGATTCTACAAAAAGGCTGTTTCAAAACTGTTCAATCAAAACAAATTTTTACCTCTCTGAGATGAAAGCACACATCACAAAAATGTTACTCAGACAGCTTCTCTCTAGTATGTATGTGAAGATACTTCCTATTTCACCTGAGGCCATAAAGGGCTCACAAATATCCCTTTGAAGGTTTTACAAAAAGACTGTTTCCAAACTGCTCAATCAAAAGAAAGGTTCAACTCTGTGAGATGAATGGACACATCACAAAGAAATTTCTCGGAATGATTCTGTCTAGTTTTTATGTGAATATATTTCTCTTTCACCATAGGCCTCAAACGGATCAGAATTATTCCTTTGCAGATTGTACAATAAGCCTCTTTCCAACCTGCTCAATCAAAAGAAAGGTTCAACTCTGTGAGATGAATGGACACATCCAAAAGTAGTTTCTCAGAAAACTTCTGTTTAGTTTTTACATGAAGATATATCCTTTGTCACCATTGGCCTCAAAGTGCTCCTAATATCCATTTACAGATTTCACAAAAAGAGTGTTTCTAAACTGCTCAATCAAAAGAAAGTTTTAACTCTGTGAGATGAAAGCACACATCTCAAAGAAATTTCTCAAAAAGCTTTGGTCTAGTTTTCATGTGAAGATATTTCCAGTTTCACCATAGGCCTCAAAGGGCTAAGAAATATCCCTTTCCAGATTCTAAAAGACGACCATTTCCATACTGCTCAATCAAAAGAAAGGTTAAATTCTGTGAGGTGAATGCACACATCAGAATGAAGTTTCTCAGAATTCTCCTGTCTAGTTTTTATGTGAAGATATTTACTATTTCACTATAGGCTTCAAATGTCTCAAAAATATCCCTTTGCAGATTCTACAAAAATATGGTTTCCAAAGTGCTGAATTAAAAGAAACTTTCAACTCTGTCAGATGAATGGAGACCTCACAAAGAAGTTCCTCAGAATGCTTCTGTCTAGTTTCAATGTGAAGATATTTCTTTTTCACCATAGACCTCAAATGGCTCAGAAATATACCTTTGCAGATTGCAGTAAAAGACTGTTTCTAAACTGCTCAAACAAAATAAAGTTTCAACACTGTGTGATGAATGCACACATCACAAAGAAGTTTCTCAGAAAGCTTCTGTCTAGTTTTTATGTGAAGATATTTCCTTTTTCACCATAGGTCTCAAATTGTTCCAAATATCCATTTGCAGATTCTACAAAAAGAATGTTTCCAAACTGGTCAATCAAAAGAAAGGCTCAAATCTGTGAGACAAAAACACACATTACAAAGTTTCTCAGAAAGCTTCTGTCTACTTTTTATGTGAAGGTGTTTCCTTTTGCACCATAGGCCTTAAATCGCTCACAAATATAACTCCACTTGTACTACCAAGAGACTTTCTCCAAATTGCTAAATCCAAAGAAAGGTTCAACTCTGTGAGAAGAATGCACACATCACAAAGAAGTTTCTCAAAATGCTTCTGTCTAGGTTTCATGTGAAGATATTTATTTTTAACCATTGACCTCAAACTGCTCAGAAGTATCCCTTTGCATTTTGTACAAAAAGACTGTTTCCAAACTGCTCAATGAAAATAAATGGTCAACTCTTAGAGATGAATTAAAATGTCACAAAGAGATTTCTCAAAAAGCTACTGTGTTGTTTTTATGTGAAGATATTTCCTTTTTCACTCTAGGCCTTAAAACGCTCCAAATATACATTCGCAGATTCTACAAAAAGACTCTTTCCAAACTGCTCAATCAAAATAAAGGTTCACATCTGTGAGATGAAAGCCCACGACACAAAGAAGTTTCTCAGAAAGTTTCTATCTCATTTTTATGTGAAGATATTTCCTTTTTCACCTTTGGCCTCAAAGGGATCACAAATATCCCTATTCTGATTTTACAAAAAACTGTTTCCGAACTGCTTCATCAAAAGAAAGGTTCAACTCTGTGAGATCAAAGCACACATAAAAAATTAGTTTCTCAGAAGGCTTCTGTCTGTTTTTATGTGAAGATATTACTTTTTCAACATAGGTCTCAAACTGCAAACCAATATTCCTTTACAGATTGCACAAAAAGTATGTTTCCACACTGCTCAATGAACAGAAAAGTTCAACTCAGTGAGATGAATGCAAACATCACAAAGAGTTTTCTCAAAATGCTTCTGTCTAGGTTTTAGGTGAAGATATTTACTTTTTCACCATAGGCCTCAAACCACTCACAAATATCCCTTTGCAGATTCTACAAAATGAATTGTTGCCAAACTGCTCAATGAAAAGCAAGGTCCAAATCTGTGAGATGAAAGTACACATCACAAGGAAGTTTCTCAGAAAGTTTCTGTCTAGTTTTTATATACAGATATTTTCTTTTTCACCATAGGCCTCAAAGCACTCCAAATATCCGTTTGCAAGTCCTACAAAAAGAGTGTTTCCAAACTGCTCAATCAAAAGAGATGTTCAACTCTGTGAGGTGAAAGCACACAACACAAAGAAGTTTTACAGAAAACTTCTGTCTAGTTTTTATATGAAGACATTTCCTATTTCACCATAGGCCCCCTATGTGCTCACAAATATCCCTTTGCAGATTCTACAAAAGGACTCTTTCCAAACTGCTCAATCCAAGGAAAGTTTCAACTCTGTGACATGAATGCACACATCACAAAGAAGTTTCTCAGAATGCTTCTCTCTAGTTTTTATGTGAAGAAATTTCCTGTTCACCATAGGCCTGAAACGCTGCAAATATCCATCTTCAGATTCCACAAAAAGACTGTTTCCAAACTGCCCAATCAAAAGAAAAGTTCAACTCTGTTAGATGAAAGCACGCATCACAAAGAAGTTTCTCAGAAAGCTTCTGTCTAGTTTTTTTGTGAAGATATTCCCTATTTCACCATAGTCCTGAAAGGGCTCACAAATATCCTTTTGCATATTATACAAAAATACTGTCTCCAAACTGCTCAATCAGAGGAAAATTTCAACTATGTGTGATGAATGCACACATTACAAAGAAGTTTCTCAGAATGCTTTTGTCTAGTTTTTATATGAAGATATTTCTCTCTCTATGGGCCTCAAATGGCTCAGAAATATCCCTTTGCAGATTGTACAAAAAGACTGTTTCCAAACTGCTCAATCAAAAGAAAGTTTCAACACTGTGAGGTGAATGCACACATCACAAAGAAGTTTCTCAGAAAGCTTCTGTTAAGATTTCATGTGAAGATATTTCCTTTTTCACCATAGGCCTCAATGGGCTCAGAAGTATCCCTTTGTAGATTCTGCAAAAGGTCTGTTTAGAAAACTGCTCAATCCAAAGAAAGGTTCAACTCTGTGAGATGAATGCACACATCTCAAAGAAGTTTCTCACAATGGATCTGTCGAGGTTTTCTGTGAAGATATATCCTTTTTAACCATAGGCCTTAAACTGCTCATGAATATCCCTCTGCAGATACTACAAAAAGACTGTTTCCAAACTGCTGCATCCAAAGAAATGTTCAACTCTGTGATATGAATACACACATCACAAAGAAGTTTCTCAGAATGCTTCTGTCTGGTTTTTATGTGAAGATATTTCCTATTTCACCATAGGCTGTAAAGGGCTCACAAATATCCGTTTGCATATTCTAAAAAAAAGACTGTTTCCAAACTGTTCAAACAAAAGAAAGGTTCAACTCTGTGAGATGAATGCACACATCAGAAAGAAGTTTCTCAGAATGCTTCTGCCTGGTTTTTATGTGAAGATATTTCCTTTTTCAACATAGGCTGTAAAGGGATCACAAATATTTTTTACAGATTCTACAAAAAGACTGTCCAAACTGCTCAATCCAAAGAAAGGTTCAACTCTGTGAGATGAATGGACACATCACAAAGAAGTTTCTCAGAATGCACCTGTCCAGTTTTTATGTGAAGATATTTCTTTTTCACCCTAGGCCTCAATGGGCTCAGAAATATCCCTTTGCAGATTCTAAAAAAGTATAGTTTCCAAACTGCTCAATCTAAACAAAGTTTCACCTCGGTGAGTTGAATGCACACATCACAGAGACGTTTCCCATAATGCTTCTGTTTAGTTTTTATGTGAAGGTATTCCCTTTTTCACCATAGACCTCAAACCGCTCACAAATATCCCTCTGCAGATACAACAAAAATACTGTTTCCAATCTGCTCAATCAAAAGATAGGCTCAAAAACATGAGATGAATGTACACGTCACAAAGAAGTTTCTCAGAATGCTTCTGTCTAGTTTTAATGTGAAGATATTTACTTTTTCACCATAGGCCTCAAAACACGCAAAACATCCATTTGCAAATTCCACAAAAAGACTGTTTCCAAACTTCTCAATGAAAAGAAAGTTTCAACTCTGTGAGGTGAATGCACACATTAAAAAAGAAGTTTCTCAGAATGCTTCTGTCTAGTTTTTCTGTGAAGATATTTCTTTTTCACTATAGACCTCAAAGCACTCAGAAATATCCCTTTGCACTTTGTATAAAAGATTCTTTCCAAACTGCTCAATGAAAAGAAAGATTCATCTCTGTGAGATTAATGCACACATAAAAAATAAGTTTCTCAGAATGCTTCTGTCTAGTTTAATGTGAAGATATTTCCTTTTTCACCATAGGCCTTAAACTGCTCACAAATATCCCTCTGCAGATACTACAAAAAGACTGTTTCCAAACTGCTCCAAGAAAAGAAAGGTTCAACTCTGTGAGGTGAATGCACACATCACAAAGGAGTTTCTCAGAATGATTCTGTCTACTTTTTATGTGAAGATAATTCTTTTTCACCATAGGCATCAAACGGCTCAAAAATATCTCTTTGCAGATTGTACAAAAGGATGGTTTCAAATCTGCTCAATCAAAAGAAAGGATCAGCTCTGTGATATGAGTCCACGCATCACAAATAAGTTTCTCAGAAAGCTTCTTTTTAGTGTTTTTGTGAAGATATTTCCTTTTTCTCCATAGGCCTAAAAGCACTGCAAATATCCATTTGCAGATTCCACAAAAAGACTGTTTCCAAACTGTTCAATCAAAAGAAAATTTCACCTCTGTGAGATTAAAGCACACATCACAAAGCATTTTCTCAGAGAGATTCTGTCTAGTTTTTATGTGAAGGTATTTCCTATTTCACCTTAGGCTGCAAAGGGCTCACAAATATCCGTTTGCATATGCAAAAAAAAGACTGTTTCCAAACTGTTCACACAAAAGAAAGATTCAACTCTGTGAGATGAATGCACACATCAGAAAGAGATTTCTCAGAATGCTTCTGTCTAGTTTTTATGTGAAGATATATCTTTTTCATCATCAGCCACAAACGGCTCAGAAATATCCCTTTGCAGATCTTACAAAAAGACTGTTTCCAACCTGCTCAATCAAAAGAAAGTTTCAACGCTGAGAGACGAATGCACACATCAAAAAGAAGGTTCTCAGAACGCTTCTGTTTTGCTTTTATTTGAAGATATTTCCTTTTTCACCATAGGACTCAGTGGGCTCATAAATATCCCTTTGCAGATTCTACAAAAGGACTGTTTAGAAAACTGCTGAATCCAAAGAATGATTCAACCCTGTGAGATGAATGCACACATCACAAAGAAGTTTTGCAGAATGCATCTGTCTAGTTTTTATGTGAAGATATTTCTTTTTTCACCATAGGCCTCAAAGCACTCCAAATACCCATTTGTAGATTCTACAAAAAGAGTGTTTCCAAATATTCAATCAAAGAAATGTTCAGCTGTAGAAGAATGCAAGCCTCAAAAAGAAGTTTCTCAGAATTCTTCTGTCGAATTTTTATGTGATGATATTTCCTTTTCCACCATAGGCCTCAAAGTGCTCCAAATATCCATTTGCAGATTCTACAAAAAGAGTGTTTCCAAACTGATCAATCAAAAGAAAAGTTCAACTCTGTGAGATGGAAGCACACATCACAAAGAAGTTTCTTAGAAACCTTCTGTCTAGTTTTTATGGGAAGATATATCATATTTCACCATAGACCTCAATGGGCTCAGAAATATACTTTTGAAGATTCTACAAAAGGATTGTTTCCAAACTGCTCAATCCAAAGAAAGGTTCAACACTGTCAGATGAATTCACACATCACAAAGAAGTTTCTCAGAAAGCTTCTGTCTAGTTTTTATGTGAATATATTTCCTTGTTCACCATAGGCCTCAAATTCTTGCAAACATCCCTCTACAGATACTACAAAAAGACAGTTTCCAAACTGTTTAATATAAAGAAGGGTTCAACTCTGTGGGATAAATGCACACATCGCCAAGAAGTTTCTCAGAATGCTTCTGTCTAGTTTTTATGTAAAGATGTTTCCTTTCTCAGGATGCCTCACACCTCTCCAAATATCCATTTGCAGATTCTACAAAATGATGGTTTCCAAACTGCTCAATGAATAGAAAGGTTCAACTCTGTGAGATGAAAGCACACGTAACAAAGTAGATTCATAGAATGTTGCTTTCTAGTTTTTATGTGAAGATATTTCCTTTTTCACCATAGTACTCAAACTGCTCCAAATATCCATTTGCAGATTCTAGAAAAAGTGTGTTTCCAAACTGCTCCATCAAAAGAAAGGTTCTACTCTGTGAGATGAAAGCACACATCACAAAGAAGTTTCTCCGAAATCTTCTGACTAGTTTTTATGTGAAGATATTTCCTATTTCACCATAGGCCTCAAAGGGCTCACAAATATCCCTTTGCAGACTCTACAAAAGGACTGTTTTGAAACTGCTTAATCAGAAGAAAGCTTAAACTCTGTGAGATGAATGCATACATCACAAAGAAGTTTCTCAGAATGCTTCTATCTATTTTTCAGGTGAAGTTATTTCTTTTTTCACCATAGGCCTCAAAGTGCTCCAAATATCCATTTCCATATTCTACAAAAAGGCAGTTTCCAAACTCCTCAATCAAAAGAGAGGTTCAACTCTGTGTGATGAAATCACCCTTCATGAAGAAGTTTTTCAGAATTCCTCTGTCTAGTTTTTATGTGAAGATATTGCCTATTTCACCTTAAGCCATAAGGGCTCACAAATATCCCTCTGCAGATTCTAGAAAAGAACTCTTTTCAAACTGCTAAATAAAAAGAAAAGTTCAACTCTGTGAGATGAATGCACACATCGCAAATAAGTTTCTCTGAAAACTTCTGTCCACTTTTTATGTGAAGATATTTCCCTTTTCACCATACCTATCAAAGCGCTCAAAATGTCCCTTTGCAAATTCTCTGAAAAGACTGTTTCCAAACTTCTCAATCAAAAGAATGGTTCAACTCTGTGAGATGAATGCACGTATCACAAAGAAGTTTCTCTGAAACCTTCTGTGTAGTTTTTATGTGAAGATATTTCCTTTTTCACCATAGGCCTCAAGCCACTCACAAATATCCCTTTGCATATTTTACAAGAACAGAGTTTCCAGACTCATCAAAGAATAGAAAATTTTTTGTCTCTGAGATGAGTGCACACCTTGCAAAACAGCTTCTCAGAAACATTCTTTATAGTTTTTATTGAAGATATTTCCTTTTTCACCATAGGCCTCATAAAGCTGACAAATATCCCTTTGAAGATTCTACAAAAAGTCTGTTTACAAACTGCTCAATCAAAAGAATGGTTCAACTCTGTGAGATGAATGCACACACCACAAAGAGGTTTCTCAGAAATCTTCTGTCTAGTTTTTATGTGAAGATATTTTCTTTCTCAACATAGGCCTCAAAGGGCTCACAATTATCCCTTTGCAGATTCTACAAATGGACAGTTTTCAAACTGCTCAGTCAAAAGACTGTTTCAACTATGTGAGATGAACGTACACATGACAGAGAGGTTTCTCAGAGAACTTCTGTCTATTTATTATGTGAAGGTATTTCCTTTTTCACCAAAGGCCTCAAAGCGCTCACAAATATCTCCTTGCAGATTCTACAAGAACAGAATACCCAAACTGATTAATCAGAAGAATGCTACACATAAAATCTCTGGAAGAAAACCTAGGCAAGACCATTCAGGACATAGGCATGGGCAAGAACTTCATGTCTAAAACACCTAAAGCAATGGCAACAAAAGCCACAATTGACAAATGGGATCTAATTAAACTAAGGAGCTTCTGCACAGCAAAAGAAACCACCATCAGAGTGAACAGGAATCCTACAGAATGGGAGAATATTTTTGCAACCTACTCATCTGAAAAAGGGCTAATATCAGGAATCTACAAGGAACTCAGACTAATTTACAGGAAAAAAACAACCCCATCAAAAAGTGGGTGAAGTATATGAACAGACATTTCTCAAAAGAAGACATTTATGCAGCCAATGAACAAATGAAAAAATGCTCATCTTCACTGGCCATCAGAGAAATGCAAGTCAAAACCACAATGAGATACCATCTCACACCAGTTAGAATGGCGATCATTAAAAAGTCAGGAAACAACAGGTGCTGGAGAGGATGTGAGAAATAGGAACACTTTTGTGCTGTCGGTTGCAGTGTAAACTAGTTCAACCATTGTGGAAGTCGGTATGGTGATTCCTCAGGGATCTAGAACTAGAAATACCATTTGACCTAGCCAGCCCATTACTGGGTATATACCCAAAGGATTATAAATCATGCTGCTATAAAGACACATACACACGTATGTTTATAGTGGCACTATTCACAATAGCAAAGACTTGGAACCAATGTAAATGTCCAACAACGATAGACTGAATGAAGAAAATGTGGCACATATACATCATGGAACACTATGCGGCCATAAAAAATGATGAGTTGATGTCCTTTGTAGGGACATGGATGAAGCTGGAAACCATCATTCTCAGCGAACTATCACAAGGACAAAAAATAAAACACCACATGATCTCACTCATAGTTGGGAATTGATCAAAGAACACATGGACACAGAAAGAGAACCATCACACACCACAAACCAGAGAGTGTAGTCCGGTGTGGGGAGGGGGAGGGATAGCCTTAGGAGATATACCTAATGCATACAAACATGGCAAATGTATACATATGTAACAAACCTACACGTTGTACACATGTTCCCTAAAACATAAAGTATAATAATAATAAAAGTAAATAAATAATTAAACAGAGAGTTCAAAAAAAAAATAAGAATGGTTCAACTCTATGAGATGAATGCACACATCACAAATAAGTTTCTCAGAACGTTTCTGTCTACATTTTATATGAAGATATTTCCTTTTTCACCATAGGCCTCAAAGCACTCACAAATATCCCTTTGTAGATTCTACAAGAAAAGATTTTCCCATCTGCTCAATGAAAAGAAATGTTTACCTCTGTGAGATGAATGCATACATTACAAAGCAGTTTCTCAGAAACCTTCTGTTTAGTTTTTATGTGAAGATATTTACTTTTTCCCCATAGGCCTCAAAGCACTCACAAATATCCTTTGTTGATTCTACAAAAAGACTGTTTCCAAACTGCTGAATCAAAAGAATGGCTCAACTGATTCAGATGAGTGCACACATAACACAGAAGTGTCCCAGAAAGCTTCTGTCTAGTTTTCTTGTGAAGATATTTCCTTTTCCACCATTGGCCCACAAGCGTTCACAAATAATCCTTTGCAGATTCTACAAAAAGACGGTTTCCAATACACTCAATCAATAGAAAGGTTCAATTCTGTGAGATGAATTCACACATCAAAAAACAGTTTCTCAGAAACCTTCTTTCTAGTTTTTCTGTGAAGATATTTGCTTTTTCACCATAGGCTTCAAAGCGCTCACAAATATCCTTTTGCAGATTATACAAAAAGACTGTGACCAAACTGCTCAATCAATAGAATGGATCGACTCTGTGAAATGAATGAACACATCACAAAAAAGTTTATCAGAAAGTTTCTGTCTAGTTTTCACGTGAAGATTGGAGTACAGTGGAATGGAGTGAAGTGGAATGGAATGGAATGGAATAGAATGGAATGGAATGGAAT
>NT_187512.1:14264-16789 GCF_000001405.40 Homo sapiens
TTAATGGAATGAAGTGGAGCGGAATGGAATGGAATGGAAGAGGATGGAATAGAATGGAATGGAATGGAATGGAATGTATTGCAATGGAGTGGAGTGGAGTGGAGTGGAGTGGTGTTGAATGGAATGGATTGGATTGAATGGAATGGAATGGAATGGAATGGAATGGAATGGAATGGAATGGAATGGAGTGTAGTGAAATGGAGAGAAGTGGAATGCAGTGGAGTGGAGTGGAGAGTAATGTAAAG
The DNA here is from genome assembly GCF_000001405.40 of Homo sapiens. Lineage (NCBI taxonomy): Eukaryota > Metazoa > Chordata > Mammalia > Primates > Hominidae > Homo > Homo sapiens. The sequence goes on from NT_187512.1 coordinate 14,510, forward strand.
GAATGGAATGGAATGGAATTGTGAAGTGAAATGTGAGCTAAGATTGTGCACCGAAACTCCTGTCTGGGTGACAGAGTGAGATCCAGTCGAAATAAAGGAATGCAATGGAATGGAGTAGAATCAAATGGAATGGAGTTGAATGGAGAGGAGTGGAGTGGAATGGAGTGGAATGGAGTGAAATGCAATGGAGTTTAGTGGATTAGAGTTGAGTGGAGTGGAATGGAGTGAAATAGAGTGGAGTGGAGTGGAATGGAGTGAAATGCAATGGAGTTTAGTGGATTAGAGTTGAATGGAGTGGAATGGAGTGAAATAGAGTGGAGTGGAGTGGATTGGAATGGAATGGAATGGATTGGGATGGAATGCAACGGAGTGGAGTAGAGTGGAGAGAAGTTGAGTGGAGTGTATCGGAGTGCAGTGGAATGGAATGGAAAGGAATGGAATGGAATGGAATGGAAAGGAAGGGAACGGAACAGAGTGGAGGGGAGTGAATTGGAGTTGAGTCGAGTGGATCTGAGTGCAGTGGAATGGAATGAAATGGAATGGGACGGAATGGAATGGAATGGAAAGGAGTGGAGTTGAATGGATTGCAATGCAGTGGAGTGGAGTGCAATGGAATGGAAAGGTGAAATGAAATGTGTGCTAAAATTGTACCACTGCACTCCAATATGGGTGACAGAGTGAGATTCAGTTGAAATAAAGGAATCGAATGGAATAGAGTAGAATGAAATGGAGTGGAGTGGAGTGCAGAGGAGTGGATTGGAATGAAGTGGAATGGAATGGAGTGGAGTAGAATGGAATGGAGTGGAAAGGAATGGAATGGAATGGAACGCTATGGAATGGAACAGAATGGAATGGAGTGGAGTGGAGTGCAGGTGAGTAGAGTGGATCAGAGTGGAGTGGAATGGAATGGAATGGCATGGAATGGAATGGTATGGAATGGAGTGAAGTGGAATGGAATGGAGTAGAGTGGAGTGCAGTGGAGTGGAATGGAATGGAATGGAATGCAATGGAATGCAATGGAATGGTGAAATGTAATGTGAGCTAAGATTGTGCCACTGCACTACACTCTGGGTGACAGAGTGACATCCAATCGAAGTAAAGGAATGGAATGGAATGCAGTAGAGTGGAATGGAATGGAGTGGAGTTGAATGGAATGGAGTGGAATGGAGTGGAGTGGAGTGGAATGGAGTGGAGTGGAATGGAGTGGAATGGAGTGGAAAGGAATGAAATGGAATGGAGAGGAATGGAAATGATTGGAAAGGAATGGAGTGGAGTGGAGTGGAATGGAATGGAGTGGAATGGAGTGGAATGGAGTGGAAAGGAATGAAATGGAATGGAGAGGAATAGAATGGAATGGAGAGGAATGGAATGGAATAGAATGGAAAGGAATGGAATAGAATGGAATGAAATGAACTGGAATGGAAGATAATACAGTGGAGTGGAGTAGAATGGAGTGTAATGGAATGGATCATAGTGGAATGGAGTGGAATGGAACGGAATGGAATGGAGTGGAATGGAACGGAATGAAGTTGAGTGGAACGGAATGGAGTGGAGTGGAATGGAGTGGAATGGAGTGGAAAAGAGTGAAATGGAGTGGAATGGAATGGAGTGTATAGGAAAGAAATGGAGTGGAATGGAAAGGAACGATACAGAATGGAATGGAACGAAGTGTAGTGTATTGTAGTGTAGTGTAGTGTAGTGTAGTTGAGTGGAATGGATCGGAGTGCAGTGAAATTCAATGGAATGGAGTGGAGTGAATTGGAGTGGAGTAGAGTGGAATGGAGTGGAGAGGAATGGAGAGGAATGGAGTGAAATGGAATGGAGTGGAATGGAATGGAATGGAATTAAATGGAACGGAATGGAATGGAATGGAAGGGAACGGAGTGGAGTGGAGTGGGGTGGATAGGAGTTGGGTGGAGTGGATTGGAGTGCAGTGGAATGTCATGGCATGGAATGGAATGGAATGGAATGCAGTGGAGTGGAATAAAATGGAATGGAGTGGAGTGGAGTGGAAAGGAAGGGAGTGGCGTGGAATGGAATGGAGTGGAGTGGAATGGAGTGGAATAGAATGGAATGGAGAGGAGTGGAATGTAATGGAGTGGAGTGGAGTGGAATGGAAAGGAGTGGAGTGGAATGGAAAGGAGTGGAGTGGAATGGAAAGGAGTGGAGTGGAATAGAGTGGAGTGGAGTGGACTGGAATGGAATGGAAAAGAATGAAATGGAGTGGAGTGGAATGGAAAGCTGTGGAGTGGAATGGAGTTGAGTGGAGTGGAGTGGAGT
>NT_187512.1:20005-44211 GCF_000001405.40 Homo sapiens
GGGAACGGAGGGGAATGGAATGGGATGGAGTTGAATGGATTGGAGTGGAGTGGAGTGGAATGGTGTGAAATGGAATGGGATGGAGTGGAGCGGGGTGGAGTGGAGTGGAGTGGAATGGAATGGAATGGAATTGAAAGAATGGAATTGAATGGAATGAAATGGAACGCAATGGAATGGAATGAAATGGAATGCAATGGAATGGAATGGTGAAATGAAAAGTGAGCTGAGATTGTGCCACTGTACAGCAGCCTGGGTGACAGAGTGAGATAATATCAAAAGAAAGGTAAGGAATGGAATGGTGTGGAATGGAATGGAACGGAATGGAATGGAATGGAATGGAATGGAATGGAATGGAATGGAACGGAATGGAAAGGAATAGGGTGTGGAGTGCAGTGGGGTGGAGTGGAGAGGAATGGAGTGGAATGGAATGGGACAGAATGGAATGCATTGGAGTGGATTGGAGCACTTTGAGGCCTATGATGGAAAAGTAAATATCTTTACATAAAACCTAGACAGAAGCATTCTGAGAAACTTCTTTGTGATGTGTGCGTTCTTCTCACAGAGTTGAATCTTTCTTTTTATTGAGCAGTTTGGAAACACTCTTTTTGTAGAATTTGCAAGTGGACATTTGGAGCGATTTGAGGCATATTTAAAAAAATCTTCACATGAAAACTAGATAGAAGCATTCTGATAAACTTCTTTGTCATATGTGCATTCATTTAAAAGAGTTGAAACTTTCTTTTGATTCAGCAGTTTTGAAACACCCTTTTTGTACTATCTGTAAGTGGACATTTGGCGTGCATTGAGGCCTATGATGGAAAAGGAAATATCTTCACAATAACTAGACAGAAGCATTCTGACAAATTTCTTTGTGATGTGTGCATTCATCTCACAGGTTTAAACCTTTTATTTGATTGAACAGCTTTGAAACACTTTGTACAATCTGCATGTGGAAATTTGGTGCGCTTCGAAGCCTATGGTGGAAAAGGGAATATCTTCATATAAAACCTATACAGAAACATTCTGACAAACTTCTTTGTGATGTGCGCATTCATCTCACATATTTGAACCTTTCTTTTCATTGAGCAGTTTTGAAACACTTTTTTGTAGAATCTGCAAGTGTATATTTGTAGAGTTTTCAGGCCTATGGTGGAAAAGGAAATATCATCACATAAAAACTAGACAGAAGCATTCTGAGAAACTTCTCTGTGATGTGTGCATTCACCTCACATAGTTGAAATTTTCTTTTGATTGAGTAGTTTTTAAAAACTCTTTTTGCAGAATCTGCAGGTGGACATTTTGAGTACTGTGAGGCCTAGTGTGGAAAAGGAAACATCTTCACATTAAAACTAGACAGAATCATTCTGACAAACTTCTTTGGGATGTGTGCACTCACTTGACAGAGTTGGAAATTTCTTTTGATTGATCAATTTTGAAACACATTTTGTAGAATTTGCAAGAGGACATTTGTAGAGCTTTGAGGCCTATGGTGGAAAAGAAAATATTTTCACTTAAGTCCTAGACAGAAGCATTCTGAAAACCTTCTTTGTGATGTGTGCATTCATCTCACAGAGGTGAACCTTAGTTTTGATTGAACTGTTTTGAAACACTCTTGTTGTAGAATCTACAATAGGACATTTGGAGCGCTTTGCGGACTCTGGTGGAAAAGGAAATATCCTCACATAAAAACTAGTCAGAAGATTTCTGACAAACTTCTTTGTGAGGTGTGCATTCATCTCACAGAGTTGAACTTTACTTTCGATTGAGCAGTTTTGAAACACTTCTTTTGTAGAATCTGCAGGTGGACATCTGGAGTGCTTTGAGACCTAAGTTGGAAAATGAGATATCTTCACATAATAAATAGAAGCATTCTGAGAAACTACTTTGTGATGTGTGCATTCATCTCACAGAGTTGAAACTTTCTTTTGATTGAGTAGCTTTGAAACACTCTTTTGGTAGACCCTGCAAGTGGACATTTGGAGTGCTATGAGGTCTATGGTGGAAAAGTAAATATCTTAACATAAAATCTCTACAGAAACATTCTGAGAAACTTCTTTGTGATGTATGCATTCATCTCACAAAGCTGAAACTTTCTTTTGATTGAGCAGTTTTAGAACACTCTTTTTGTAGTATCTGAAAGTGTACATTTGGATCGCTTTGGGGCTTATGGTGGAAAAGGAAATATCTTCACATAAAAACTAGACAGAATCATTCTGTGAAAATTCTTTGTGATATGTGCATTCATCTTAGAGAGTTGAACCTTTCTTTCGATTGAACAGTTTTCAAAAACTCATTTTTAGAATCTGCAATTGGTCATTTGGAACGCTTAGAGGTCTATGGTGGAAAAGAAAATATCTTCAAATAAAAACTAGACAGAAGCATTCTGAGAAACTTCTTTATGATGTGTGCACTCATCTCACAGACTCGAAACTTTCTTTTGAATGAGCAGTTTGGAAACACTCTTTTTGTAGAATCTGCAAATGGACATTTGGAGTGCTATACTGCCTATAGTGGAAAAGGAAATATCTTCATATAAAAACTAGACAGAAACATTCTCAGCAACTTCTTTGTCATGTGTGCATTCACGTGACAGAGTTGAAATTTTCTTATGTTGAGCAGTTTTGAAACATTCTTTTTTAGAATCTGCAAGTGGATATTTGGAGTGCTTTGAGGCCTTTTTTGGAAAAGGAAATATCTTCACATAAAAACTAGACAGAAGCATTCTGAGAAAATTCTTTGTGATGTATCCATGCATCTCACAGAGTTGGAGATTTTTCGATTGAGCAGTTTTGAAATACTCCTTTTGTAGAATCAAGTGGACATTTTGAGAGCTTTGAGGCCTATGGTAGAAAAGGAAGTATCTTCACATAAAATCTAGAGAGAAGCAAACTGAGAAACTTCTTTGCGATGTGTGCATTCATCTCACATAGTTTAAACTTCCTTTGATTGAGCAGTTTAGAAATGCACTATTGGTAGAATCTGCAAGTGGACATTTGGAGCACTTTGAGGCCTATGGTGGAAAAGGAAATATCTTCGCATAAAATCTAGAGAGAAGCAATCTGAGAAACTTCTTTGTGATGTATGCATTCATCTCAGAGAGTGAAACCTTTCTTTTGATTGAGCAGTTCTGAAACTCTTTTTGTTGAATCTGCAATAGGAAATTGGGAGTGCTTTAAGGCCTATGGTCGAAAAGGAAATATCTTACCATAAAAACAAGACAGAAGAAATCTGAGAAACTTTTTTTGTGATGTGTGTGTTCATCTCACAGAGTTGAACCTTTCTTTTGATTGAGCAGTTTTCAAACACTCTTTTTGTAGAATTTGCAAGTGGACATTTTGAGCGCTTTGCAGCCTATGGTAACAAAGGAAATATCTTCACATAAAATCTAGACAGAAGCAATCTGAGAAACTTCTTTGTGATGTGTGCATTCACCTCACAGAGTTAAACATTTCTTTTGATGAAGCAGTTTTGAAACTCTCTTTTTGTAGATCCTGAAACTGGACATTTGGAGTGATATGAGGCCTACAGTGGAGAAGGAAATACCTTCACATGAAAACTAAACAGAAGAATTCTGATAAACTTCTTTGTGATTCGTACGTTCATCATATAGAGTTGAACCTTTCTTTTGATGGAGCAGTTTTGAAGCTCTCTTTTTGTAGAATCTGCAAGTGGACGTTTGGAGCACTTTCAAGCCTATAGTGTAAAACTAAATATCTTCAAATAAAAACCAGGTAGAGGCTTTCTGAGAAACTTCCTTGTGATATGTGTATTCATCTCCTTGAGTTGAGCATTTCTTTTGAAGGACCAGTTTTGAAATACTCTTTTTGTATAATCTGCAAGTGGACATTTTGAGCATCTTGAGGCCTATGGTGAAAAAGAAAATATCTTCACATAAAAACTGGACAGAAGCATTCTGAGAAACCTCTTTGTGATGTGTGCATTCATATCTCAAAGTTGAATCTTTCTTTTGAAGGACCACTTTTGAAATCCTCTTTTTGAAGAATCTGCAAGCGGATATTTTGTGCGCCTTGAGGCCTATGCTGGAAAAGGAAATATCTTCACATAAAATCTAGACAGAAGCAATCCGAGAAACTTCCTTGTGATGTGTTCATTTATCTCACAGAGTTAAGCCTTTCTTTTGATTGAGCAGTTTTGAAACTCTCTTTTTTGTAGAATCTGTAAGTGGACATTTGGTGCGATTTGAAGCCTATGGTGGAAAAGGAAATATCTTCACATAAAAACCAGATAGAAATATTCTGAGAAACTTCTTCGTGATGTGTGCATTCATCTCAAGAGTTGAACCTTTCTTTTGAAGGACCAGTTTTTAAATACTCTTTTCGTAGAATCTGCAAGTGGACATTTCAAGTGCCTTGAGGCTTATGGTGGAAAAGAAAATATCTTCATATAAACACCAGACAGAAGAATTCTGAGAAACTTCTTTGTTATGTGTGCGTTCATCTTACAGAGTTGAACCGTTCTTTTCAATGAGCAGTTTGGAAACACTACATTTTTAGAACCTGCAAGTGGAGATTTGGAGTGCTTTGTGGTCTATGGTAGAAAAGGAAATATCTTCACATAAAATCCAGACAGAAGAAATCTGAGAAACTTCTTCATGATGTGTGCATTCATCTCCCAGAATTTAAGCTTTCTTTTGATGGATCAGTTTTGGAATACTCTTTTTGTTGAATCTGCAAGTGGAGATTTTGAGCACCTTGAGGCCTATTGTGGAAAATGAAACACCTTCACATAAAAACTAGACAGAAGAATTCTGAGAAGCTTCTTTGTGATGCGTGCACTCATCTCACAGAGTTGAACATTTCTTTTGATTGAGCAGTTTGGAAACACTCTTTTTGTTGAATCTGAAAGGGGACATTTGGTGCACTTTGCAGCCTATGGTAGAAAAGGAAATATCTTCACAAAAAATCTAGACAGAAGCAACATGAGGAACTTCTTTGTGATGTGTGCATTCATCTCACAGAGTTAAAACCATTTTTTAATTGAGCAGTTTTGAAACTCTCTTTTTGTAGAATCTGGACGTAGACAAGTGCAGCGTTTTCAGGCCTATAGTGGAAAAGGAAATATCTTCACATAAAAACTAGACAGAAGAAATCTGAGAAACTTCTTTGTGATGTATCCGTTCATCTCACAGAGTTGTAACTTTCTTTTCATTGAGCAGTTTGGAAACATAATTTTTGTACAATCTGCAAGTGGACATTCTGAGCGCTTTGCAGCCTATGGTAGAAAAGGAAATATCTTCACATAAAATCTAGACAGAAGCAATCAGAGAAAATTCTTTCTGATGTGTGCATTCATCTCACAGAGTTAAACCTTTCTTTTGATTGAGCAGTTTTGAAACTGTTTTTGTAGAATCTGCAAGTTGACATTTGGAGGGCTTTGTGGCCTATGGTAGAAAAGGAAATATCTTCACATAAAATCTAGACAGAAGCAATCTGAGAAACTTCCCTGTGATGTCTGCGTTCATCTCACAGAGTTATAATTTCCTTTGAAAGAGCAGTTTTGATACTTTCTTTTGTAGAATCTGCAAGTGGATATTTGGAGCACTTTGAGACCTATGATAAGAAAGTATATATCTTCACATAAAATCTAGACAGAAGCAATCTGAGAAACTTCATTGTGATGTGTGCATTCATGTCATAGAGTTAAACCTTTCTTTTTGATTGAGCAGTTTTTTTTTTTTTTTAGAATCTGCTAGTGGACGTTTAAAGCACATTGAGACCCATGACGGAAATGGAAATATCTTCACATAAAATCTAAACGGAGGATTTTTGAGAAACTTCTTTTTGATGTGTGTGTTCATCTCACAGAGTTGAATCTTTCTTTTATTGAGCAGTTTGGAAACACTCTTTCTGCAGAATCTGCAGGAATATATTTGGAGCATTTTGAGGCCTATGGAGGAAAAGAAATATCTTCAGATAAAAACTAGTTAGAAGCATTCTGAGGAACTTCTTTGTGATGTGTGCATTCATCTCCCAGAGTTCAACATTTCTTTTGATGGACCAGTTTTGAAGTAATCTTTTTGTGGAATCTGCAAATGGACGTTTGGAGCTCCTTGAGGCCTATGGTGGAAAACGAAATATCTTCAATAAAAACTAGACAGAAGCATTCTGAATAACTTCTTCGTGATGTGTAAATTCATCTCCCAGATTCGAATCTTTCTTTTAATGGACCAGATTTGAAATCCTCTTTTTGTAGAATCTGCAAGTGGACATTTTGAGCACCTTGAGGCCCGTTGAGGGAAAAGAAATACTTTCACATTAAAACGAGAAAGAAGAATTTTGAGAAACTTCTTTGTGATTTGTGCGTTCATATCACAGAGTTGAAACTTTCTTTTGATTGTGCAGTTTGGAAACTCTCTTTTTGTAGAATCTGCCAGTGGACATTTGGTGTGCTTTGCAGCCTATGGTAGAAAAGGAAATCTCTTCACAGAAAATCTAGACAGAAGCAATCTGAGAAACTTCTTTGTGATGTGTGCATTCATCTCAAAGAGTGAAAACTTTCTTTTGATGGAGTAGTTTTGAAATTTTCTTTTTGTGGAATCTACAAATTGACATTGGGAGCGCTTTGAGGACTAAGGTGGAAAAGGAAATATGTTCACATAAAAACTAGTCAGAAGAATTCTAAGAACCTTCTTTGTGATGTGCGCATTCATCTCACAGATTTGAACATTTCTTTTGATTGAGCAGTTTGGAAACAATCTTTTTGCAAAATCTGCATGTGGATATTTGGAGCGATTTGAGGCCTATGGTAGAAAAGGAACTATCTTCACATAAAATCTAGACAGAAGCAATCTGAGAAACTTCTTTGTGATATGTGCATTTATTTCACAGAGTTAAACCTTTCTTTTGATTGAGCAGTTTTAAAACTCTCTTTTTGTAGGATCTGCATGTGGACATTTGGAGCGGTTTGAGGCCTATGGTGGAAAAGGAAATATCTTCACATAAAAATAAGATTGAAGCATTCAGAGAAACTTCTTTCTGATGTGTGCATTCATCTCCAAGAGTTGAAGCTTCCTTTGATGTACCAGTTTTGAAATTCTCTTTTTGTAGAATCTGCAAGTGTACATTTGGAGCGCCTAGGGGCCTATGGTAGAAAAGGATATATCTTCACTTAAAATCTAGACAGAAGTAATCTGAGGAACTTCTTTGTGATGTAGGCATTCATCTGACAGAGTTAACCCTTTCTTTTGATTGACCAGTTTTGAATCTCTCTTTTGTAGAACCTGCAAGGGGAGATTAAGAACCCTTTGAGGCCTATGGTGGAAAACGAAATATCTTCCCATGAAAACTAGACAGAAGAATTCTGACTAACTTCTTTGTGAAGCATGCGTTCATCTCACAGAGTTGAACCTTTCTTTTGATTGAGCAGTTTGGAGACACCCTTTTGTAAAATCTCCCAGTGGACATTTGGAGCGCATTGCAGCCTACAGTAGAAAAGGAAATATCTTCAAATAAAATCTTGACAGAAGCAATCTTAGAAACCTCTCTGTGATGTGTGCATTCATCTCACTGAGTGAATCCTTTCTTTTGATTGAGCAGTTTTGAAACTCTCTTTTTGTTGAATCTGCAATTGGACATTGGGAGCACTTTGAGGCCTGTGGTGGAAAAGGAAATATCATCACACAAAAACTAGACAGAGGAATTCTGAGAAACTTCTTTCTGATGTGTGCATTCATCTGACAGAGTTCAACCTTTGTTTGATTGAGCAGTATGGAAACACTCTTTTTGTAGAATCTGCAAGTGGACATTTGGAGCTCCTTGGGGCCTATGGTAGAAAAGGATATATCTTCATTTAAAATCTAGAAAAAAGCAATCTGAGAAACTTCTTTGTGATGTGTGCATTCATGCCACAGAGTTAAAACTTTCCTTTGATTGAGCAGTTTTGAAATTCTATTTTGTAAAATCTTCAAGTGGAGATTAAGAGCCCTTTGAGGCCTATGGTGGAAAACGAAATATCTTCACATAAAAACTAGACAGAAGAATACTGAGTAACTTCTTTGTGAAGCATGCGTTCATCTCACAGAGTTGAACTTTCTTTTGATTGAGCAGTTTAGAGACACCCTTTTGTAAAATCTCCCAGTGGACTTTTGGAGCGCATTGCAGCCTACGGTAGAAAAGGAAATATCTTCACATAAAATCTTGACAGAAGCTATCTTAGAAACGTCTCTGTGATGTGTGCATTCATCTCACTGAGTGAAACCTTTCTTTTGATTGAGCAGTTTTGAAACTCTCTTTTTATTGAATCTGCAATTGGACACTGGGACACTTTGAGGCCTAAGGTGGAAAAGGAAACATCTTCACATAAAATCTAGACAGAAGAATTCTGAGAAACTTCTTTGTTATGTGTGCATTCATCTGACAGAGTTGAACCTTTGTTTGATTGAGCAGTATGCAAGCACTCGTTCTGTGGAATCTGCAAGTGGACATTTGGAGCGTTTTGCAGCCTATGGTAGTAAAGGAAATATCTACACATAAAATCAAGACAGAAACTATCTGAAAAACTCCTTTTGTGACGTGTGCATTCATATTCCAGAGTTAAACTTTTCTTTTGGTTCACCAATTTTGAAACTCTCTTTTTGTGTAATCTGCAAGTGGACATTTTGAGGGCTTTGAGGCTGATGGTGGAAAAGGAAATATCTTCAATAAAATCTAGACAGAAGCATTCTGAATAACTTCTTCTTTATGTGTGTTTTCATCTCCCAGAGTTGAACCTTTCTTTTAATGGACCAGTTTTGAAATACTCTTTTTGTAGAATCTGCAATTGGACATTTTGGGCACCTTGAGGCCTGTAGAGGGAAAAGAAATACTTTCACATTAAAAGGATACAGAAGAATTTTGAGAAACTTACTTGTGATTTGTGCATTCATATCACAGAGTAGAAACTTACTTTTGATTGTGCAGTTTGAAACTCTATTTTGTAGAATCTGCCAGTGGATATTTGGTGCACTTTGTGGCCTATGGTAGGAAATGAAATCTCTTCACAGAAAATCTAGACAGAAGCAATCTGAGAAACTTCTTTGTGATGTGTGCATTCATCTCAAAGAGTGAAACCTTTCTTTTGATGGAGTAGTTTTGAAATTTTCTTTTTGTGGAATCTGCAAATTGACATTAGGAGTGCTTTGAGGCCTAAGGTGGAAAAGGAAATATGTTCACATAAAAACTAGACAGAAGAATTCTGAGAACATTCTTTATGATGTGTGCATTCATTTCACAAAGTTGAATATTTCTTTTTATTGAACAGTTTGGAAACAAACTTTTTGTAGGATCTGCATATGGATATTTGGAGCGATTTGAGGCCTATGGTAGAAAGGGAAATATCTTCACATAAAATCTAGACAGAAGCAATCTGAGAAACTTCTTTGTGATATTTGCCTTTATCTCAGAGAGTTAAATATTTCTTTTGATTAAGCAGTTTTAAAACTCTCTTTTTGTAGGATCTGCAAGTGGACAATTGGAGCGCTTTGAATCCTATGGTGGAAAACGAAATATCTTCACATAAAAACAAGATTGAAGCATTCAGAGCAACTTCTTTGTGATGTGTGCATTCATCTCCAAGAGTTGAACCTTCCTTTTGATGTACCAGTTTTGAAATTCTCTTTTTGTAGAATCTGCAAGTGGACATTTGGAGTGCCTTGGGGCCTATGGTAGAAAAGGATATATCTTCACTTAAAATCTAGACAGAAGTAATCTGAGAAACTTCTCTGTGATGTGTGCATTCGTGTCACAGAGTCAAACCTTTCTTTTGATTGAGCACTTTTGAAACTCTCTTTTGTAGAACCTGCAAGTGGAGATTAATAGCCCTTTGAGGCCTGTGGTGGAAAACGAAATATCTTCACATAAAAACTAAACAGAAGTATTCTGAGTAACTTCTTTGTGAAGCATGCGTTCATCTCACAGAGTTGAACCTTTCTTTTAATTGAGCAGTTTGGAGACACCCTTTTGTAAAATGTCCCAGTGGACATTGGGAGCACTTTGCGACCTACGGTAGAAAAAGAAATATCTTCACATAAAATCTTGACAGAAGCAATCTTAGAAACTTCTCTGTGATGTGTGCATTTATCTCACTGAGTGAAACCTTTCTTTTGAGTGAGCAGTTTTGAAACTCTCTTTTTGTTGAATCTGCAATTGGACATTGGGAGCACTTTGAGGCCTAAGGTGGAAAAGGAAATAACCTCACATAAAAACTACACAGAAGAATTCTGAGAAACTTCTTTTTTATGTGTGCGTTCATCTCACAGAGTTGAAACTTTGTTTGATTGAGCAGTATGGAAACACTCTTTTTGTAGAATGTGCAAGTGGACATTTGGAGCGTTTTGCAGCCTATGGTAGAAAAGGAAATATCCACACATAAAATCTAGACAGATCCTATCTGAAAAACTTCTTTGTGACGTGTGTATTCATATTCCAGAGTTAAACCTTTCCTTTGATTTAGCGGTTTTGAAACTCTCTTTATGTGTATTCTGCAAGTGGACATTTGGAGGGCTTGGAGGCCAATGGTGGAAAAGGAAATAGCTTCAACAAACACTAGATGGAAGCATTCTGAATAACTTCTTCGTGATGTGTGTATTCATCTCCCATAGTTGAACCTTTCTATTAATTTACCAGTTTTGAAATACTCTTTTTGTAGTATCTGCAAGTGGACATTACGAACACCTTGAGGCCTATAGAGGGAAAGGAAATACTTTCACATAAAAACGAGACAGAAGAATTCTGAGAAACTTCTTTGTGATTTGTGTATTCATATCACAGAGTTGAACCTTTCTTTTGATTGAGCAGTTTGGAAACATTCTTTTTGTAGGATCTGCCAGTGGACATTTGGAGCGTTTTGCAACCTATGGTACAAAAGGAAATATCTTCACTTAAAATCTAGACAGAAACTATCCGAAAAACTTCTTTGTGACGTGTGCATTCATATCCCAGAGTTAAACCTTTCCTTTGATTTAGCAGTTTTGAAAATCTCTTTATGTGCATTCTGCAAGTGGACATTTGGTGGGCTTTGAGGCCGATGGTGGAAATGGAAATATCTTCAATAAACACTAGATAGAAGCATTCTGAATAACTTCTTCACGATGTGTGTATTCACCTCCCATAGTTGAACCTTTCTATTAATGGGCCAGTTTTCAAATACTCTTTTTGTAGTATCTACAATTGGACATTACGAGCACCTTGAGGCCTGTAGTGGGAAAGAAATGCTTTCAAATATAAATGAGACAGAAGAATTCTGTGAAACTTCTTTGAGATTTGTGTATTCATACCACAGAGTTGAACCTTTCTTTTGATTGAGCAGTTTGGAAACACTCTTTTTGTAGAATCTGCCAGTGGACATGTGGAGTGCTTTGCAGTCTATGGTAGAAAAAGAAATGTCTTCACAGAAAATCAAGACAGAAGCAATCTGAGAAATTTCTCTGTGATGTGTACATTCACCTCACACAGTGAAATCTTTCTTTTGATGGAGTAGTTTTAAAATTTTCTTTTTGTGAAATCTGCAAATTGACATTGGGAGTGCTTTGAGGCTTAAGGTGGAAAAGGAAATATGTTCACGTAAAAACTAGACAGAAGAATTCTGAGAACCTTCTTTGTGATGTGTGCATTCATCTCACAGAGTTGAACCTTTCTTTTAATGGACCAGTTTTGAAATACTCTTTTTGTAGAATCTGCAAGTGGACATTTCGAGCACCTTGAGGGCTGTAGAGGGAAAATAAATACTTTCACACTAAAACGAGACAGAATAATTTTGAGAAACTTCTTTGTGATTTGTGCATTCATATCACAGAGTTGAAACTTTCTTTTGATTGTGCAATTTGGAAACTCTCTTTTTGTAGGATCTGCAAGTGGACATTTGGAGCGCTTTGAGGCCTATGGAGGAAAAGGAAATATCTTCACATAAAAACAAGATTGAAGCATTCAGAGAAACTTTTTTGTGATGTGTGCATTCATCTCCAAGAGTTGAACCTTCCTTTTGATGTACCAGCTTTGAAACACTCTTTTTGCAGAATCTGCAAGTGGACATTTGGAGTGCCTTGGGTCCTATGGTAGAAAAGGATATATTTTAACTTAAAATCTAGACAGAAGTAATCTGAGAAACTTCTTTGTGATGTGTCCATTCATCTCCAAGAGTCGAAACTTCCTTTTGATGTACCAGTTTTGAAATACTATTTTTGTTGAATCTGCAAGTGGACATTTGGAGCGCCTTGGGGCCTATGGTAGAAAAGGATATATCTTCATTTAAAATCTAGACAAAAGCAATCTGAGAAACTTCTTTGTGATGTGTGCATTCATGTCACAGAGTTAAAACTTTCTTTTGTTTCAGCAGTTTTGAAACACTCTTTTGTAGAATCTGCAAGTGGAGATTAAGAGCCCTTTGAGGCCTATGGTGGAAAACGAAATATCTTCACATAAAAACTAGACAGAAGACTTCTGAGTAACTTATTTGTGAAGCATGCGTTCATCTCACAGAGTTGAACCTTTCTTTTGATTGAGCAGTTTAGAGACACCCTTCTGTAAAATCTCCCAGTGGACATTGGAAGCACTTTGTGGCCTACGGTAGAAAAGGAAATATCTTCACATAAAATCTTGACAGAAGAAATCAGAGAAACTACTTTGTGATGTGTGCATTCATCTGAAAGAGTGAAACCTTTCTTTTGATGGAGTAGTTTTGAAATTTTCTTTTTGTGGAATCTGCAAATTGACATTGGGAGCACTTTGAGGCCTAAGGTGGAAAAGGAAATATGTTCACATAAAAACTAGACAGAAGAATTCTGAGAACCTTCTTTGTGATATGTGCATTTATCTCAAAGAGTTAAACCTTTCTTTTGATTGAGCAGTTTTAAAACTCTTTGTGATGTGTGCATTCATCTCACAGAGTTGAACATTTCTTTTGATTGAGCAGTTTGGAAACAATCTTTTTGTAGAATCTGCATGTGGACATTTGGAGCGATTTGAGGCCCATGGTAGAAAAGGAACTATCTTCACGTAAAATCTAGACAGAAGCAATCTGAGAAACTTCTTTGTGATATGTGCATTTATCTCACAGAGTTAAACCTTTCTTTTATTTGAGCAGTTTTAAAGCTCTCCTTTTGTAGGATCTGCAAGTGGACATTTGGAGCGCTTTGAGGCCAATGCTGGAAAAGGACATATCTTCACATAAAAAAAGATTGAAGCACTCACAGCAACTTCTTTGTGATGTGTGCATTCATCTCCAAGAGTTGAACCTTCCTTTTGATGTACCAGTTTTGAAATACTCTTTTTGTAGAATCTGCAAGTGGACATTTGGAGCGCTTTGGCGCCTATGGTAGAAAAGGATATATCTTCACTTAAAATCTAGACAGAAGTAATCTGAGAAACTTCTTTGTGATGTGTGCATTCATGTCACAGAGTTAAACCTTTCTTTTGATTGAGCAGTTTTCAAACTCTCTTTTGTAGGAACTGCAATTGGAGACTAACATCCCTTTGAGGCCTATGGTGGAAAACGAAATATCTTCACATAAAAACTAGACAGAAGAATTCTGAGCAACTTCTTTGTGATGCATGCATTCATCTCACAGAGTTGAACCTTTCTTTTGATTGACCAGTTTGGAGACAACCTTTTATAAAATCTCCCAGTGGACATTTGGAGCGCTTTATGGCCTACGGTAGAAAAGGAAATATCTTCACATAAAATCTTGACAGAAGCAATCTTAGAAACTTCTCTGTGATGTGTGCATTCATCTCACTGAGTGAAACCTTTCTTTTGAGTGAGCAGTTTTGAAACTCTCTTTTTGTTGAATCTGCAATTGGACATTGGGAGCACTTTGAGGCCTAAGGTGGAAAGGGAAATATCTTCACATAAAAACTAGACAGAACAACTCTGCGAAACTTCTTTTTTATGTGTGCGTTCATCACAGAGAGTTGAACCTTTGTTTGATTGAGCAGTATGGAAACACTCTTTCTGTAGAATCTGCAAGTGGACATTTCGAGCACCTTGAGGCCTCTAGAGGGAAAAGAAATATTTTCACATTAAAATGAGACAGAAGAATTTTGAGAAACTTCTTTGTGATTTGAGCATTCATATCACAGGGTTGAAACTTTCTTTTGATTGTGCAGTTTGGAAACTCTTTTTTAGGATCTGCAAGTGGACATTTGGAGTGCTTTGAGGCCTATGGTGAAAAAGGAAATATCTTCACATAAAAACAAGATTGAAGCATTCAGAGAAACTTCTTTGTGATGTGTGCATTCATCTCCAAGAGTTGAAACTTCCTTTTGATTTACCAGTTTTGAAATAGTCTTTTTGTAGAATCTGCAAGTGGACATTTGGAGTGCGTTGGGGCCTATGGTAGAAAAGGATATATCTTCATTTAAAATCTAGACAAAAGCAATCTGAGAAACTTCTTTCTGATGTGTGCATTCATGTCACAGAGTTAAACCTTTCTTTTGATTCTGCAGTTTTGAAACACTCTTTTGTAGAATCTGCTTGTGGAGATTAAGACTCCTTTGAGGCCTATGGTGGAAAACGAAATATCTTCACATAAAAACTAGACAGAAGATTTCTGAGTAACTTCTTTGTGAAGCATGCATTCATCTCACAGAGGTGAACCTTTCTTTTGATTGAGCAGTTTAGAGAAACCCTTCTGTAAAATCTCCCAGTGGACATTGGGAGCACTTTGCGGCCTACGGTAGAAAAGGAAGTATCTTCACATAAAATCTTGATAGAAGAAATCTGAGAAACTTCTTTGTGATGTGTGCATTCATCTGAAAGAGTGAAACCTTTCCTTTGATGGAGTACTTTTGAAATTTTCTTTTTGTGGAATCTGCAAATTGACATTGGGAGCGCTTTGAGGCCTAAGGTGGAAAAGGAAATATGTTCACATAAAAACGAGACAGAATAATTCTGAGAATCTTCTTAATGATACGTGCATTTATCTCAAAGAGTTAAACCTTTCTTTTGATTGAGCAGTTTTAAAACTCTCTTTTTGTAGGATCTGCAAGTGGACATTTGGAGCGCTTTGAGGCCTAAGGTGCAAAAGGAAATATGTTCACATAAAAACTAGACAGAAGAATTCTGAGAAACTTCTTTGTGATGTGTGCATTCATCTCAGATAGTTGAACATTTCTTTTGACTGAGCAGTTTGGAAACAATCTTTTTGTAGAATCTGCATGTGGACATTTGGAGCGATTTGAGGCCTATGGTAGAAAAGGAAATATCTTCACATAAAATCTTGACAGAAGCAATCTTAGAAACTTCTGTGATGTGTGCATTCACCTCACTGAGTGAAACCTTTCTTTTGATTGAGCAGTTTTAAAATTCTCTTTTTGTTGAATCTGCAATTGGACATTGGGAGCACTTTGAGGCCTGTCGTGGAAAAGGAAATATCTTCACATAAAAACTAGACAGAAGAATTCTGAGAAGCATCTTTTTTATGTGTGCGTTCATCTCACAGAGTTGAAACTTTGTTTGATTCAGCAGTATGGAAACACTCTTTTTGTAGAATCTGCAAGTGGATATTTGTAGCGTTTTGCAGCCTATGGTAGAAAAGGAAATATCTACACATAAAATCTAGACAGAAACTATCTGAAGAACTTCTTTGCGACGTGTGCATTCATATTCCAGAGTTAAACATTTCCTTTGATTTAGCAGTTTTGAAACTCTCTTTATGTGTATTCTGCAAGTGGACATTTGGAGGGCTTGGAGGCCGATGGTGGAAAAGGAAATATCTTCAATAAACACTAGATAGAAACATTCTGAATAACTACTTCGTGATGTGTGTATTCATCTGCCATAGTTGAACCTTTCTATTAATGGACCAGTTTTGATATACTCTTTTTGTAGAATCTGCAAGTGGACATTATGAGCACCTTGAGGCCTGTAGAGGGAAAAGAAATACTTTCACATAAAAATGAGACAGAAGAATTCTGAGAAACTTCTTTGTGATTTGTGCATTCATATCACAGAGTTGAACCTTTCTTTTGATTGAGCAGTTTGGAAACACTCTTTTTGTAGAATCTGCCAGTGGACATTTGGTGTGCTTTGTGGCCTAAGGTAGAAAAGGAAATCTCTTCACAGAAAATCAAGACAGAAGCAATCTGAGAAATTTCTTTGTGATGTGTGCATTCATCTCACACAGTGAAACCATTCTTTTGATGGAGTAGTTTTGAAATTTTCTTTTTGTGGAATCTGCAAATTGACATTGGGAGTGCTTTGAGGCCTAAGGTGGAAAAGGAAATATGTTCACATAAAAACTAGACAGAAGAATTCTGAGAAACTTCTTTATGATGTGTGCGTTCGTCTCACAGAGTTGAACCTTTCTTTTGATTGAGCAGTTTGGAAATACTCCTCTCGGAGAATCTGCATGTGGACATTTGGAGCGATTTGAGGCCTGCGGTACAAAAGGAAATATCTTCACATAAAATCTAGACAGAAGCAATCTGAGAAACTTCTTTGTGATGTGTGCATTCATCTCAACATTTGGAACGCATTGGGGCCTATGGTAGAAAAGGACACATCTTCATTTAAAATCTAGACAAAAGCAATCTGAGAAACTTCTTTGTGATGTGTACATTGATGTCACAGAGTTAAAACTTTCTTTTGATTGAGCAGTTTTGAAACTCTCCTTTGTAGAATCTGCAAGTGGAGATTAAGAGCCCTTTGAGGCCTATGGTGGAAAACGAAATATCTTCACATAAAAACTAGACAGAAGACTTCTGAGTAACTTCTTTGTGAAGCATGCGTTCATCTCACAGAGTTGAACCTTTTTTTTGATTGAGCAGTTTAGAGATACCCTTTTGTAAAATCTCTCAGTGGACATTGGGAGCCCTTTGCAGCCTACGGCAGAAAGGGAAATATTTTCACATAAAATCTTGAGAGAAGCAATCTTAGAAACTTCTCTGTGATGTGTGCATTCATCTCACTGAGTGAAACCTTTCTTTTGATTCTGCAGTTTTGAAACTCTCTTTTTGTTGAATCTGCAATTGGACATTGGGAGAACTTTGAGGCCTAAGGTGGAAAAGGAAATATCTTCACATAAAAACTAGGCAGAAGTATTCTGAGAAACTTCTTTTTTATGTGTGCATTCATCTGACAGAGTTGAACCTTTGTTTGATTGAACAGTATGGAAACACTCTTTCTGTAGAATCTGCAAGTGGATATTTGGAGCGTTTTGAAGCCTATGGTAGAAAAGGAAATATCTACAATTAAAATCTCGACAGAAACTATCTGAAAAACTTCTTTGTGACGTGTGCCTTCATATTCCAGAGTTAAACCTTTCTTTTGTTTGAGCAGTTTTGAAACTCTCTTTTTGTGTAATCTGCAAGTGGATATTTTGAGGGCTTTGAGGCTGATGGTGGAAAACGAAATGTCTTCAATAAAAACTAGACAGAAGCATTCTGAGTAACTTCTTCATGATGTGTGTATTCATCTCCCAGAGTTGAACCTTTCTTTTAATGGACCAGTTTTGAAATCCTCTTTTTGTAGAATCTGCAAGTGGACGTTTCGAGCATCTTGAGGCATGTAGAGGGAAAAGAAATACTTTCACATTAAAAGGAGACAGAAGAATTTTGAGAAACTTCTTTGTGATTTGTGCGGTCATATCACAGAGTTGAAACTATCTTTTGATTGTGCAGTTTGAAACTCTTTTTTTGTAGGATCTGCCAGTGGACATTTTGTGCGCTTTGTGGCCTTTGGTAGAAAAGGAAATCTCTTCACAGAAAATCTAGACAGAAGCAATCTGAGAAATTTCTTTGTGATGGGTGCATTCATCTCAAAGAGTGAAACCTTTCTTTTGATGGAGTAGTTTTGAAATTTTCTTTTTGTTGAATCTGCAAATTGACATTGGGAGCGCTTTGAGGCCTAAGATGTGAAAGGAAATATGTTCACATAAAAACTAGACAGAAGAATTCTGAGAACCTTCTTTGTGATGTGTGCATTCATCTCACAGAGTTGAACATTTCTTTTGATTGAGCAGTTAGGAAACAATCTTTTGTAGAATGTGCATGTGGACTTTTGGAGCGATTTGAGGCCCATGGTAGAAAAGGAACTATCTTCACATAAAATCTAGACAGAAGCAATCTGAGAAACTTCTTTGTGATATTTGCCTTTATCTCAGAGAGTTAAACATTTCTTTTGACTAAGCAGTTTTAAAACTCTCTTTTTGTAGGATCTGCAAGTGGACAATTGGAGTGCTTTGAATCCTATGGTGGAATACGAAATATCTTCACATAAAAACAAGATTGAAGCATTCAGAGCAACTTCTTTGTGTTGTGTGCATTCATCTCCAGGACTTGAACCTTCCTTTTGATGTACCAGTTTTGAAATACTCTTTTTGTAGAATCTGCAAGTGGACATTTGGAGTGCCTTGGGGCCTATGGTAGAAAAGGATATATCTTCACTTAAAATCTAGACAGAAATAATCTGAGAAACTTATTTGTGATGTGTGCATTCATGTCACAGAGTTAAACCTTTCTTTTGATTGAGCAGTTTTGAAACTCTCTTTTGTAGAACCTGCAATTGGAGATTAAGAGCCCTTTGTGGCCTATGGTAGAAAAAAAATACCTTCACATAAAAACTAGACAGAGGAATTCTGAGTAACTTCTTTGTGAAGCATGCGTTCATCTCACAGAGCTGAAACTTTATTTTGATTGATCAGTTTGGAGACACTCTTTTGTAAAATCTCCCATTGGACATTTGGAGCACTTTGCGGACTACAGTAGAAAAGGAAATATCTTCACATAAAATCTTGAGAGAAGCAATCTTAGAAACTTCTCTGTGATGTGTGCATTCATCTCACTGAGTGATACCTTTCTTTTGAGTGAGAGTTTTGTAACTCTCTTTTTGTTGAATCTGCAATTGGACATTGGGAGCACTTTGAAGCCTAAGGTGGAAAAGGAAATATCTTCACATAAAGTCTTGACAGAAGCAATCATATAAACTTCTCAGTGACGTGTGCATTCATCTCACTGAGTGAAGCCTTTCTTTTGATTGAGCAGTTTTGAATCTCTCTTTTTGTTGAATCTGCAATTGGACATTGAGAGAACATAGAGGCCTAAGTTTGAAAAGGAAATATGTTCACATAAAAACTAGACAGAAGAATTCTGAAAAACTTCTTTTTAATGTGTGTGTTCATCTCACAGAGTTGAACCTTTGTTTGATTGAGCAGTTTGGAAACACTCTTTTTGTAGAATCTGCATGTGGACATTTGGAGCGATTTGAGGCCTATGGTACAGAAGGAAATATCTTAACATAAAATCTAGACAGAAGCAATCTGAGAAACTTCTTTGTGATGTCTGCATTCATCTCACAATGTTAAACCTTTCTTTTCATTGAGCAGTTTTAAAACTCTCTTTTTGTAGGATCTGCAAGTGGACATTTGGAGCACTTTGAGGCCTATTGTGGAAAAGGAAATGTGTTCGCATAAAAACAAGATTGAAGAATTCAGAGAAACTTCTTTGTGATGGGTGCCTTCATCTCCATGAGTTGAACCTTTCTTTTGATGTACCAGTTTTGAAATACTCTTTTTGCAGAATCCGCAAGTGGACATTTCGAGCACCTTGAGGCCTATGGTGGAAAAGAAAATATCTTCACATAAACACTAGACAGAAGAATTCTGAGAAACTTCTTTGTGATGTGTGCATTCATCTCAATAAGTTGAACCTTTCTTTTGATGGACCAAGTTTGAAATACTCCTTTTGTAGAATCTGCCAGGGGGCATTTCGAGCGCCTTTTGTCCTATGGTGGAAAATGAAATATCTTCACATCAAAACTAAACAGAAGAATTCTGATAAACTTTTCTTGTGATGCTTGCGTTTATCTCACAGAGTTGAACCTTTCTCCTGATTGAGCAGTTTTGAAACACTGTTTTTGTAGAATCTGCAAGGGGACATTTGGAGTGCTTTGGTTCTATGGTGGAAAAGGAAATAACTTCACATAAGATCTAGACAGAAACCGTCTGAGAAACCTTTTGTGATGTGTGCATTGATCTCACAGAGTTAAACCTTTCTTTTGTTTGAGGAGTTTTCAAACTCTCTTTATATAGTATCTGCAAGTGGACATTTGGAGCCGTTTGTGGTCTATGATGGAAACAGAAATATCTTCACATAAAAACTAGACAGAAGAATTCTGAGAAACTTATTTGTGATGTGTGCATACATCTGACAGTGTTAAACCATTCTTTTGATTAAGCAGTTTTGAAATACACTTTTTGTAGAGTCTGAAAGTGGACATTTCAAGCACCTTGAGGCCTATGGTGGAACACGAAATATCTTCACATAAAATCTAGACAGAAGAATTCTGAGAAACTTATTTGTGATGTGTGCATTTATCTCACAGAGTTAACCGTTTCTTTTGATTGAGCACTTTGGAAACTCTCTTTTTGCAGAACCTGCAAGTGGACATTTGGAGCGCTTTGAGGCCTACGGTGGAAAAGGAAATATCTTCACATAAAAACTAGATAGAAGCATTCTGAGAAGCTTCTTTGTGATGTGTGCATTTATTTCCTAGTGTTGAACCTTTGTTTTGACGGACCAGTTTTGAATTACTCTTTTTGTAGAATCTGCAAGGGCACATTTCGATTACCTTGAGGCTTCTGGTGCAAAAGGAAATATCTTCACATTAAAACTGGACAGAAGAATTCTGAGAAACTTTTTTGTGATGTGTGCCTTCATCTCACAGAGTTAACCTTTCTTCTGATTGAGCAGTTTGGAAACTCTCTTTTTGTAGAATCTACAAGTGGACATTTTGAGTGGTTTGCTACGT
This sequence comes from Homo sapiens, assembly GCF_000001405.40. Lineage (NCBI taxonomy): Eukaryota > Metazoa > Chordata > Mammalia > Primates > Hominidae > Homo > Homo sapiens. Next base: position 40,745 of record NT_187512.1, read on the forward strand.
ATGGTAGAAAAGGAAATATCATCACATAAAACCTAGACAGAAGAAATCTTAGAAACTTATTTGTGAAGTGTGCATTCATCTCACAGAGATAAACCTTTCTTTTGATTGAGCGGTTTTGAGACTCTCTTTTTGTAGAATTTGCAAGTGGACATTTTAATCACTTTGAGAACTATGGTAGAAAAGGAAATATCTTCACATAAAAACTAGACAGAAGTATTCTGAGAAACTTCTTTGTGATGCATGCATTCATCTCACAGAGTTGAACCTTTCTTTTGATTGAGCAGTTTTGAAAAACTCTTTATGTAGAATCTGCAAGGGGACATTAAAAGCGCTTCGGGTTCTATGGTAGAAAAGGAAATAACTTCACATAAAATCTAGACAGAAGCAATCTGAGAAACTTTTTGTGATGTGTGCATTCATCTCACAGAGTTAAACCTTCCTTTTGATTTAGCAGTTTTGGCAGTCTCTTTTTGGAGAATCTGCAAGTGGACATTTGGAGTGCTTTTAGGCCTGTGGAAGAAAAGGAAATATCTTCACATAAAAAGTAGACAGAAGAATTTTGAGAAAATTCTTTGTGATGCCAGCGTTCATCTGACAGAGTTGAACCTTTCTTTTGATTGAGCAGATTGGAAACACTCTTTTTGTAGAATCTGCCAGTGGACATTAGGAGAGTTTTGTGGCCTGTGGTGGAAAAGGAATTATCTTCACATTAAATCTAGAAAGAAGCAATCTGAGGAACGTCTTTTTGTTGTGTACATTCATCTCACAGAGTTAAACATTTCTTTTGATTGAGCATTTTTAAAACTCTCTTTTTATAAAATCTGCAAGTGGACATTTGGAGCACCTCGAGGCCAATGTTGCAAAAGAAAATATATTCACATAAAAACTAGATAGAAACATTCTGAGAAACCGCTTGGTGATGTGTGCATTCATTTCCCAGAGTTGAACATTTCTATTGATGGACCACTTTTGAAATAATCTTTTTGTAGAATTTGCAATTTGACATTTCGACCACCTTGAGGCCTATTGTGGAAAATGAAATATCCTCAACAAAAAAACTAGAGAGAAGTATTCTGAGCAACTTCTATGTGAAGTGTGCGTTCGTCTCACAGAGTTGAACCATTCTTTAGATTGAGAAGTTTGGAAACTGTCTTTTTGTAGAATCTGCAAGTGGACATTTGGAGTGCTTTGTCACCTATGGTAGCAAAGGGACTATCTTCACATAAAATCTGGACGTAAAAAATCAGAGAAACTTCTTTGTGATGTGTGCATTCACCTCAGAGTGTTAAAGCTTTCTTTTGATTGAGAAGTTTTGAAACTCTCTTTTTGGAGAATCTGCAAGTGGATATTTGGAGGGCTTTAAGGCCTCTAGTGGAAATGAAAATATCTTCACATAAAAACTAGACAGAAGAATTCTGAGAAACTTCTTTGTAATGCGTGCATTCATCTCACAGAGTTGAACCTTTCTTTTGATTGAGCAGTTTGGAAACACTCTTTTTGTGGATCTGCAAGTGGACATTTGGAGTTCTTTGGGGTCTATGGTAGGAAAGAAAATATCTTCACATAAAATCCAGACAGAAGCAACCTGAGAAACTTGCTAGTGATGTGTGCATTCATCTAAGAGAGTTAAACCTTTCTTTTGGTTGAGCAGTTTTGAAAATCTGTTTTGGTAGAATCTGCAAGTGTACATTTGGAGCACTTTGAGACCTGTGGTGGGAAAGGAAATATCTTCACATAAAAACTAGACAGAAGAATTCTGGGAAACTTCTTTGTGATGTGTGCATTCATCTCACGGAGTTGAACCTTTCTTTTGATTGAGCATTTTGTAAAAACTCTTTTTGTAGAATCTGCAAATGAAAATTTGGTGCGCTTTGCGGCCAATGGTAAAAAGGGAATATCTACACATCAAATCTAGAAAGAAGCAATCTGAGAAACTTCTTTGTGATGTGTGCATTAATCTCACAGAGTTAACATTTTCTTTTGATTGAGCAGTTTTGAAACTCTCTTTTTATAGAATCTGCAAGTGGATATTTGGAGCATTTTTAAGCCTACGGTAGAAAAGGAAATGTCTTCACATAAAATCTTGATAGAAGCATTCTGACAAACTTCTTTGTGATATGTGCATTCATCTCCCAGAGTTGAAACATTCTTTCAAAGGACTAGTTTTGAAATACTCTTTTATAGAATGTGCAAGTGGAACTTTCGAGCTTCTTGAGCCGTATGGTTGAAAGGAAATATCTTCACATAAAAACTAGACAGAAGAATTCTGAGAAACTGTTTTGTGATGTGTGTCTTCATCTCAGGGAATTGAAACTTTCTTTTGATTCAGCTGTTTGGAAACACTCTTTATGTAGAATCGGCAAGTGGACATTTGGAGCGCTTTATGGCCTATGATAGAAAAGGAAATATTTTCACAAAAATCTAGACTGAAGCAATCTGAGAAACTTCTTTGTAATGTGTGCATTCATCTCACAGATTTAAACATTTCTTTTGATTGAGCAGTTTTGAAACTCTCTTTTGTAGAATCTACAAGTGGACATTTGGAGGTCTTTGAGGCCTGTGATGGAAAAGGAAATATCTTCATATGAAAACGAGACAGAAGAATTCTGACGAACTTCTTCTTGATGTGTGCGTTCATCTCACAGAGGTGAACTTTTCTTTTGATAGAGCAGTTTCGAACACTCTTTTTTTAGAATCTGCAAGTGAACATTTTGAGCGATTTGTGGCCTATGGTAAAAAGAATGAAATATCTTAACATAAAATCTACACAGAATCAATCTGAGAAACTTCTTTGTGATGTGGGCATTCACCTCACATAGTTGAGTCTTTCTTTTGATGGAGCAGTTTTGAAACTCTCTTTTTGTAGAATCTGCAAGTGGACATTTGAAGCGCTTTTTGGCCTATGTTAAAAAAGGAAATATCTTCACATAAAATCTAGACCGAAGCAATTTGAGAAACTTCTTTTTGATGTGTGCATTCACCTCACAGAATTAAACCTTTCTTTTGATTGAGCCGTTCTGAAACTCTCTTTCTGTAGGATCTGCAAGTGGACACTTGGAGCGCTTTGAGGCCTATGGTGGAGTAGGAAGTATCATCACATAAAAACTAGACAGAAGAATGGTGAGAAACTGCTTTGTGATGTGTACGTTTATATCACAGAGCTGAACCTTTCTTTTGATTATGCAGTTTGGAAACACTCTTTGTAGAATCTGGAAGTGGATATTTGGAGCGCTTAGCAGGCTATGGTAGAAAAGGAAATATCTTCCCATAAAATCTAGACACAAGCAATCTGAAAAACTTTGTGGTGTGTGCTTTCATCTCACAGTGTTAAAATTTTGTGTTGATTGAGCAGTTTTGAAACCCTCTTTTTGTAGAATCTGCAAGTGGGCATTTGGAGTGCTTTGAGGCCTATGTTGAAAAAGGAAATATCTTCACATAAAAACTACATAGAAACATTCTGAGAAACT
>NT_187512.1:46350-71251 GCF_000001405.40 Homo sapiens
TTTTGATTTGCATTTCTCTGATGGCCAGTGATGATTAGCATTTCTTCATGTGTTTTTTGGCTGCATAAATGTCTTCTTTTGAGAAGTGTCTGTATGATTGAGGTGTTTTGAAACTCTGTTTGTAGAATCTGCAATTGGACATTTGGAGCGATTTGAGGCCTATAGTGGGAAAGGAAATATCTCCACATAAAAACTAGACGGAAGAATTCTTAGAAACTTCTTTGTGATGTGGGCGTTCATCTCACAAAGTTGAAGCTTTCTTTTGATTGAGCAGCTTGGAAACACTCTTTTTGTAGAATCTGCAAGTGCACATTTGGAGCGCTTTGGGACCTATGGTAGAAAAGGAAATATCTTCACATAAAATCTAGACAGAAGCAATCTGAGTAACTTCTTTGTGATGTGTGCATTCATCTCACAGAGTTGAACCTTTCCTTTTTTTATTAGTATACTTTATGTTTTAGGGTACCTGTGCACAATATTCAAATTAGTTACATATGTATACATGTGACATGCTGGTGCGCTGCACCCACTAAGTCGTCATCTAGCATTAGTTATATCTCCCAATGCTATTTCTCCCCCCTCCCCCGACCCCACAACAGTCCCCAGAGTGTGATCTTCCCCTTCCTGTGTCCATGTGATCTCATTGTTCAATTCCCACCTATGAGTGAGAATATGCGGTGTTTGGTTTTTTGTTCTTGCGATAGTTTACTGAGAATGATGATTTCCAATTTCATCATGTCCCTACAAAGGACATAAACTCATCTTTTTTTGTGGCTGCATAGTATTCCATGGTGTATATGTGCCACATTTTCTTAATCCAGTCTATCATTGTTGGACATCTGAGTTGGTTCCAAGTCTTTGTTATTGTGAATAGTGCTGCAATAAACATACGCATGCATGTGTCTTTATAGCAGCATGATTTACAGTCCTTTGGGTATATACCCAGTAATGGGATGGCTGGGTCAAATGTTAATTCTAGTTCTAGATCCCTGAGGAATCGCCACATGGACTGCCACAATGGATGAACATGTTTACAGTCCTACCAACAGTGTAAAAGTGTTCCTATTTCTTCACATCCCCTGCAGCACCTGTTGTTTCCTGACTTTTTAATGATTGCCATTCTAACAGGTGTGAGATGATATCTCATTGTGGTTTTGATTTGCATTTCTCTGATGGCCAGTGATAGTGAGCATTTCTTCATGTGTTTTTTGGCTGCATAAATGTATTCTTTTGAGAAGTGTCTGTTCATGTACTTCACCATCTTTTTGATGGTGTTGTTTTTTTTCCTTGTAAATTTGAGTTCATTGTAGATTCTGGATATTAGCCCTTTGTCAGATGAGTAGGTTGCAAAAACTTTCTCCTATTTTGTGGGTTGCAAATCAATAAATGTAATCCAGTATTTAAACAAAACCAAAGACAAAAACCACACTATTATCTCAACAGATGCAGAAAAAGCCTTTGACAACATTCAACAACGCTTCATGCTAAAAACTCTCAATAAATTATGTATTGATAGGACGTATCTCAAAATAATAAGAGCTATCTATGACAAACCCACAGCCAATATCATACTGAATGGGTAAACACTGGAAGCATTCCCTTTGAAAACTGGCACAAGACAGGGATGCCCTCTCTCACCACTTCTATTCAACATAGAGTTGGAAGTTCTGGCCAGGGCAATTAGGCAGGAGAAGGAAACAAAGGGTATTCATTCAGGAAAAGAGAAAGTCAAATTGTCCCTGTTTGCAGACGACATGATTGTATATCTAGAAAACCTGATAGTCTCAGCCCAAAATCTCCTTAAGTTGATAAGCAACTTCAGCAAAGTCTCAAGATACAAACTCAATGTACAAAAATCACAAGCATTCTTACACACCAATAACAGAAAAACAGAGAGCCAAATCAAGAGTGAACTCCCATTCACAATTGCTACAAAGAGAATAAAATACCTAGGAATCCAATTTACAAGGGATGTGGAGGACCTCTTCAAGGAGAACTACAAACTATGGCTCATGAAATAAAAGAGGATACAAACAAATGGAAGAACATTCCATCCTCATGGGTAGGAAGAATCAATATCGTGAAAATGGCCATACTGCCAAAAGTAATTTATAGATTCAATGCCATCCCCATCAAGCTACCGATGACTTTCCTCACAAAATTGGAAAAAAACTACTTTAAAGTTCATATGGAACCAAAAAAGAGCCCGCATCACAAATCAATCCTAGGCCAAAAGAGCAAAGCAGGAGGCATCATGCCACCTGACTTCAAACTATACCACAAGGCTACAGTAACCCAAACAGCATGGTTTTGGTAGCAAAACAGAGATATATATGAATGGAACAGAACAGAGCCCTCAGAAATAACGCTGTATATCTACAACTATCTGATCTTTGACAAACCTGAGAAAAACAAGCAATGGAGAAAGGATTCCCTATTTAATAAATGGTGCTGGGAAAACAGGCTAGCCATATGTAGAAAGCTGAAACTGGATTCCTTCCTTACACCTTATACAAAAATTAATTCAAGACGGATTAAAGACTTAAACTTTGGACCTAAAACCATAAAAACCCTAGAAGAAAACCTAGTCATTACCATTCAGGACATAGGCATGGGCAAGTACTTCATGTCTAAAACACCAAAAGCAATGGCAACGAAAGCCAAAATTGACAAATGGGATCTAATTAAACTAAAGAGCTTCTGCACAGTAAAAGAAACTTCCATCAGAGTGAAACTTTCTTTTGATTCAGCAGTTTGGAAACACTCTTTTTCTAGATTCTGCAAGTGGACGTTTGGAGCGCTTTGCGGCCTATATAGAAAAGGAAATATCTTCACATAAAATCTATACAGAAGCATTCTGAGAAACTTCTTTGAGATGTGTGCATTCATCACACAGAGTTAAACCTTTCTTTTGATTGAGCAGTTTTGAAATTCTCTGTCTGTAGAATCTGCAAGTAGATATTTGGAGCGCTTTGAGGTCTACGGTGGAAAAGGAAATATCGTCACATAAATACTAGACAGAAGAATTCTGAGAAACTTCCTTGTGATGTGTGCGTTCATGTCACAGAGTTGAACCTTACTTTTGATAGAGCAGTTTGGAAACACTCTTTTTGTAGAATCTGCAAGTGGACATTTGGAGCACCTTGTGGCCTATGTTAGAAAAGGAAATACCTTCACATAAAATCTAGACAGAAGAAATCTGAGAAACTACTTTGTGATGTGTGCACTTATGTCACAGTGTTAAATATTTCTTTTCATTGAGGAGTTTTCAGGCTCTCTTTCTGTAGAATATGCAAGTGGACATTTGAAGTGCTTTGAGGACTAATGGTGGAAAACGAAATATTTTCACATAAAAACTAGACAGAAGAATTCTGAGAAACTTCACTGTTATGTGTAGGTACATCTCACCGAGTTGAAACTTTCTTTTGATTCAGCATTTTGGAAACAATCTTTTAGTAGATTCTGCAAGTGGACATTTGGAGCGCTTTGCGGCCTATGTCAGAAAAGGTAAGATCCTCACATAAAATCTAGACAGAAGCAATCTGAGAAACTCCTTTGTGATGTGTGCATTAACCTCAAAGAGTTAAAACTTTCCTTTGATTGAGGAGATTCAAAGCTCTCTTTTTGTAGAGTCTGCAAGTTTACATTTGGAGCGCTTTGAGGACCATGGTGGAAAAGGAAATATCTTAACATAAAAACTAGGCAGAAGAATTCTGAGAAACTTCTTGGTGATGTGTGCATTCATCTCGCAGAGTAGAACCTTTCCTTTGACTGAGCAGTTTGGAAACACTCTTTTTGTAGAATCTGCTATTGGACATTTGGAGCGCTTTGCAGCCTATGGTAGTAAAAAAGAAAATCTTCACAAAAAATCTAGACAGAAGCAATCTGAGAAACTTCTTTGAGATATGTGCATTCAACTTACATAATTAAACCTTTTTTTTTTGATTGTGCATTTTGGAAACTCTCTTTTTGTAGAAGCCGCAAGCAGACATTTGGAGTACTTTGTGGTGTATGGTTGAAAAGGAAATATCTTCACATAAAAACAAGACAGAAGAATTCTGAGGAACGGCTTTGTGATGTGTGCATTCCTCTCAAGGAGTTGACACTTTCTTTTTATTGAGCAGTATGGAGACACTGTTTTTGTAGAATCTGTAAGTGGACATTTGGAGGGCTTTGAGGCCCATGGTGGAAAAGGAAATATCAAATAAAAAATAGGCAGAAGAATTCTGAGAAACTTGTTTGTGATGTGTCCATTCATCTCACAAAGTTCAACCTTTCCTTTGATTGAGCAGTTTGGAAACACTCTTTTTGTAGAATCTGCAATTGGACATTTGGAGAGCTTTGCAGCCTATGGTATAAAAGGAAAAATCTTCACATAAAATCTAGACAGAAGCAATCTGAGAAACTTTTTTGAGATGTGTACATTCATTCCAGAGAGTTAAACCTTTCTTTTGATTGAGCAGTTTTGAAACTCTCTTTTTGTAGAATCTGCAAGTGGCCATTTGGAGTACTTGGAGGCCTATGGTGGAAAAGGAAATATCTTCACATAAAAACTAGGCAGAAGAATTCTGAGAAACTTCTTTGTGATGTGTGTGTTCATCCCACAAAGTTGAACCTTTATTTTCTTGAGCAGTATGGAAACAGTCTTTTTGTCAAAGCGGCTAGTGGACTTTTGGAGAGCTTTGCAGTTTATTGAATAAAAGAAATATCTTTACATTAAATCAAGACAGAAGCAGTCTGAGAAACTACTTTGTGATGTGTGCATTCATCTCACAGAGTTAAAATTGTCTTTTTATTGAGCAATTTTGAAACTCTCTTTTTGAAGAATCAGCAAGTAGACGTTTGGAGTGCCTTGAGGCCTATGATGGAAAAGGAAATATCTTCACATAAAAACTAGACAGATTTCTGAGAAACTTCTTTCTGATGTGTGCATTTACCTCAAAAATTTAAACATTTCTTTTGATTGGGAGTTTTGAAACTCTCTTTTTGTAGAATCTGCAAATGGACATTTGGAGAGCTTGGACACCTATGGTGGAAAAGGAAATATCTTCAAATAAAAACTAGGTAGAAGAATCCTGAGAAACTTCTTTGTGATGTGTGTGATCGTTTTTAGGCCTATGGTGGAAAAGGAAATATCTTCACATAAAAACTAGACAGAAGATTTCTGAGAAACTTCTTTGTGATGCTGGCATTCATCTCACACAGTTGAATCTTTCTTTTGATTTAGCAGTTTGTAAACACTCTTTTTGTAGATTCTGCAAGTGGACATTTGGAGCACCTTCCGGCCTACGTTAGAAAAGGAAATATCTTCACATAAAATCTAGACAGAAGTAATCTGAGAAACTTCTTAGTGAAGTGTTCATTCACCTCAAAGAGTTAAACCTTCTTTTGATTGAGGAGTTTCGAAACTCTCCTTTCATAGAATCTGCAAGTGGACATTTGGAGGGCTTTGAGGACCATTGTGGAAAAGGAAATATCTTCACATAAAGACTAGACAGAAGAATTCTGAAAAACTTATTTGTGATGTGTGCATTCATCTCACAGAGTTAAATATTTCTTTTGATTGAGGAATTTTGAAACTCTCTTTTTGTAGAATCTGAAATTGCATATTTTGAGCGCTTTGAGGCCTATAGTGGGAAAGGAAATATCTTCACATAAAAACTAGACAGAAGAATTCTGAGAAACTTCTTTGTGATGTGTGCATTCATCTCACAGAGTTGAAACTTCCTTTTGATTGAGCAGTTTGGAAATACTCTTTTTGTAGAATCTGCAAATGGACATTTTGTGTGCTTTGCGGCCTATGTTATAAGAGAAAATATCTTCACAAAAAATCTAGACCGAAGCAATCTGAGAAACTACTTTGTAATGTGTGCATTCGTCTCACAGAGTTAAACCTTTCTTTTGATTGAGCAGTTTGGAAACTTTTTTTTTCCAGAATCTGCAAGTGCACATTTGGAGTGCTTTGAAGCCTATGGTGGAAAAGGAACTATATTCACATAAAAACTAGACAGAAGAATTCTGAGAAACTTCGCTTTGATGCGTGCGTTCATCTCACCGAGTTGATCCTTTCTTTTGATTCAGCAGTTTGGAAACACTCTTTTTGTAGAATCTGCATGTGGGCATTTGGAACGCTTTGCTGCCTATCTTAGAAAAGGAAATATCTTCACATAGAATGTAGACAGAAGCAATCTGAGAAACTTCTTTGTGGTGTGTGAATTCATCTCACAGAGTTAAACCTCTCATTTGTTTAATCAGTTTTTTAACTCTCTTTTTGTATAATCTGCAAGTGGACATTTGGAGCGCTTTGAGGCCTATAGTGGAAAAAGAAATATCTTCACCTAAAAACTAGACAGAAGAATTCTGAGAAACTTCTTTGTGATGTGTGTGTTCATCTCACAGAATTGAGCATTTTTTTGAATGAGAAGTTTGGAAACAATCTTTTTGTGGAGTCTGCAGGTGGACTGTCACAAAGAGAGAGTTTCAAAACTGCTCAATCAAAAGAAAGTTTTAACTCTGTGACATGAATACACACATCACAAAGAAGTTTCTCAGTTTGCTTCTGTCTACAAATTATGTGAAGATATTTCCTTTTCTACCATAGGCCACAAAGCGCTTCAAATATCCACTTGCAGATTCTACAAAAAGAGTGTTTTGAAAGTGCTCAATCAAAAGAAAGGTTCAACTTTGTGAGAAGAACGCATGCATCACAAACAAATTTCTCAGATAGCTTCTGTATAGATTTTATGTGAGGGTATTTCGTTTTCTAACATAGGCCACAAAGACCTCCAAATATCCACTTGCAGATTCTACAAAAAGAGAGTTTCAAAACTGCTCTATCAAAAGAATGGTTAAAATCTGTGACTTGAATGCACGTATAACAACGATGTTTCCCAGAAAGCTTCTGTGTAGTTTTTATCTGAAGATATTGTCTTTTCCAAAATAGACCACAAAGCTCGTCAAATTTCCACTTCCAGGTTCTACAAAAAAAGTGTTTCCAAATTACTCAGTCAATAGAAAGATTCAACCCTTTGTGATGAATACACTCATCACAAAGATGTTTCCCAGAATGATTCTGTGTAGTTTTTATTTGAAGATATTTCCTTTTCCAACGTAGGCTGCAAAGGGCTCCAAAATTCCACCTGCAGATGCTACAAAAAGAGAGATTCAAAACTGCTCAATCAAAAGATAGGTTCAAATCTGTCAGTTGAATGCACACATCACAAAGAAGTTTCTCAGAATGCCTCTGTGTAGTTTTTATGTGAAGATATTTCCTTTTCCACAATAGGCCTGAAATTGCTCCAAATATCCAATTAGAGATTCTACAAAAAGAGAGATTCAAAACTGCCCAATCAAAAGATAGGTTCAACTCTGTCAGTTGAATGCACACATCACAAAGAAGTTTCTCAGAATGCCTCTGTGTAGTGTTTATGTGAAGATATTTCCTTTTCCACAATAGGCCACAAAGCACTCCAAATATCCACTTCAGATTCTGCAAAAAGAGAGATTCAAAACTGCTCAATCAAAAGATGGGTTTAACTCTGTGAGTTGAATGCACACCTCACAACAAAGTTTCTCAGAATGCTTCTGTGTACTCTTTATTTGAAAATATTTGCTTTTCCACAGTGGGCCTCAAAGCGATACAAATATCCACTTGCAGATTCTGCAAAAAGAGACTCAAAACTGCTCAATCAAAAGATAGGCTCAACTCTGTGTGTTGAATGCATACATAACAAAGGAGTTTCTCCGAATAATTCTGTGCAGTTTTTATGTTAAGATATTTCCTTTTCCAAAATAGGCCTCAAAGCCCTCCAAATATCCACTTCCAGATTCTACGAAAAGAGTGTTTCAAAACTGCTCAATCAAAAGAAACTTTCAACTCTGTGTGATGAATGCACTTAACACAAAGAAGTTTTTCAGAATGCTTATGTGTAGTTTTTATTTGAAGATATTTCCTTTTCCAACACAGGGTGCAAAGAGCTCCAAATATCCACTTCCACATTCTACAAACGGAGGGATTGAAAACTGCTCAATCAAAAAATTCGTTCAACACTGTGAGTTGAATGAACACATAACAGAGAAGTTTGTCAGAATGCTTCTATGTAGTTTTTATGTGAGGATATTTCCGTTTCCAAAATAAACCTCAAAGACCTTGAAATATCCACTTCCATCTTCTACAAAAGGAGAGTTTCAAAACTGTTCAATCAAAAGAAAGTTTCAAGTCTGTGATGAATGCACTCATCATAAAGAAGTTTCTCTGAATACTTCTGTGTAGTTTTTATTTGAAGATATTTCCTTTTCCACAACATGTCTCAAAGCTCTCCAAATATCCACTTGCAGATTCTGGAAAAATACTGTTTCAAAACTGCTCCATGAAAGGAAGTGTTCAACCCTGTGAGATGAATGCACACAACACAAAGACGTTTCTCAGAATGCTTCTATGTAGTTTCTATTTGATGATATGTCCTTTTCCTCCATTGGCTGCAAAGGGCTCCAAATATCCAGTAGCAGATCCTACAAAACAGATATTCAAAACTGCCGAATCAAAAGATACGTTCAACACTGAGAGTTGAATGCACACCTCACAAAGAAGCTTCTCAGAATGCTTCTGTGTAGTTTTTATGTGAAGATGTTTCCTTTTCCACATTTGGCCTCAAAGTTCTAAAATATCTGCCTGCAGATCCTGCAAAAAGAGTGTTTCAAAACTGCTCAATCAAAGGAAAGATTCAACTCTCTGTGATGAATGCACTCACCACAAAGAAGTTTCTTTGAATGCTTCTGCGCATTATTTATTTGAAGATATTTCCTTTTCCACCATAGGTTGCAAAGGGCTCCAAATATCCACTTGCCGAATCTACAAAGAGTTTCAATCAATAGATAGGTTCAACTATGTGAGTTGAAAGCACACATCACAGAGAAGTTTCTCAGAATTCTTCTGTACAGATTTTATGTGAAGATATTTCCTTCTCCGCAATAGGCCTCAAATCACTCCAAATATCCAATTAGAGATTCTACCAAAAGAGAGATTCAAAACTGCTCAATCAAAAGAAAGGTTCAACTCTGTGAGATGAATGCACACATCACAAGGAAGTTTCTCAGAATGCTTCCGTGTAGTCTTTAGGTGAAGATATTTGCTTTTCCACAGTAGGCCTCAAAGTGCTCCAAATATCCACTTGCTGATTCTGCAAAAATAGTGTTTCAAAACTGCTCAATAAAAAGGAAGGTTCAACTCTGTGGGATGAATGCACTCATCACAAAGAAGTTTATCTGAAGGCTTCTGTGTAGTTGTTATTTGAAGTTATTTCCTTTTCCAACATAGTTGCAAAGGGCTCCAAATATCCACTTGTAGATTCTACAAAAAGAGACATTCAAAACTGCTCAATGAAAAGATAAGTCCAACTCTGTGGGTTGAATCCATACCTCACAAAGAAGTTTCTCAGAATGCTTCTCTGTAGTTTTTACGTGAATATATTTCCTTTTCCACAATAGGCCTCAAAGCTTTCCAAATATCCACTTGCAGATTCTGCAAAAAGAGAGATTCAAAACTGCTCTATCAAAAGATAGGTTCGACTCTGTGAGTTGAATGCAAACATCACAAAGAAGTTTCTCAGAATGCTTCTGTGTAGTTTTTATGTGAAGATGTTTCGTTTTTCACCATAGGGCGAAATGGGGCTCCAAATATCCACTTGCAGATTCTACAAAAAGAGATTCTAGGCTGCTCAATCAAAAGATAGGTTCCACACTGTTAGTTGAATGCACACTTCCCAAAGAAGTTACTCAGAATGCTTCTGTGTAGTTTTTATGTCAAGATATTTTCTTTTCCACAATAGGCCTCAAATCGCTCTAAATATCCACTTGCAGATTCTACAAAACGAGTGTTTCAAAACTGCTCAATCATAAGATAGGAGCAACCCTGAGAGTTGAATGCACACATCACAAAGAAGTTTCTCAGAATGCTTCTGTGTAGTTTTAATTTGAAGATATTTCATTTCCCAAAACAGGCCTCAAAGCTCTCCAAATATCCAATTGGTGATTCTGCAAAAAGAGGGTTTCAGTACTACTCAATAAAAAGAAAGGTTCAACTCTGTGAGGAATGCATTCATCACAAAGAAGTTTCTCTGAATGCTTCTGTGTAGTTTTTATGTGAAGATATTTCCTTTTCCACCATAGGGTGCAAAGAGCATTCATCACAAAGAAGTTTCTCTGAATGCTTCTGTGTAGTTTTTATGTGAAGATATTTCCTTTTCCACCATAGGGTGCAAAGAGCTCCAAATATCCACTTGCAGATTCTACCAAAAAAGAGATACAAAAGTTCTCAATGAAAAGATAAGTTCAACTCTGTGAGTTGAATGCACACCTCACAAAGAAGTTTCTCAAAATGCTTCTGTGTAGTTTTTATGTGAAGATTTTTGATTTTCCACAGTAGGCCTCAAAGCGCTCCAAATATCCACTCACAGATTCTGCAGAAAGAGAGATTAAAATCTGCTGAATCAAAAGATAGGTTCAACTCTGTGACTTCAATGCACACCTCACAAAGGTGTTTCTCAGAAAGCTTCTGTGTAGTTTTTATATGAAGATATCTCCTTCTCCAAAACAGAATTCAAAGCCCTCCAAATATTTACTTCCAGATTCTACAGAAAGATTGCCTCAAAACTGCTAAATCAAAACAAAGGTTCAACTCTGTGATGAATGCACTCATCAGAAATTAGGTTCCCTGAATGCTTCTGTGTAGTTTCTATTTGAAGATATTTCCTTTTCCACTATAGGGTGAAATAGGGCTCCAAATATTCACTTGCAGATTCTACAAAAAGAGAGATTCTAAACTGCTCAATCAACAGATAGGTTCAACACTGTGAGTTGAATGCACACATCACAAATAAGTTTCTCAGAATGCTTCTGGGTAGTTTTTATTTGAAGATATTTCTCTTTCCACAATAAGCCTCAAATTGCTCTAAATATCCACTTTCAGATTCTACAAAAAGAGTGTTTCAAAACTGCTCAATCAAAAGAAAGGTTCTACTCTGTGAGATGAATGCACACATCACAAAGTAGTTTCTCAGAATGCTTCTGCGTAGTTTTTATGTGAAGATATTTCCTTCTCCACTATAGGCCTCAAAAGGCTCCAAATATCCACCTACAGATTCTAAAAAAATAGTGTTTCAAAACTGCTGTATCAAAAGAAAGATTCAACTCAGTGAGATTAATGCACAGATCACAAAGAAGTTTCTCAGAATGCTTCTTTGTAGTTTTTATGTGAAGATATTTGTTTTTCCACAGTAGGCCCCAATGAGCTCCAAATATCTACTTTCAGATTCTACAAAAAGAGTGTTTCAAAACTGCTCAATCAACAGAGACATTCAACTCTGTGAGATGAATGCACACATCACAAAGAAGTTTCTCAGAATGCTTCTGTGTAGTTTTTATGTGAAGATATTTGATTTTCCACAGTACGCCTCAAAGCGCTCCAAATATCCACTCGCAGATTCTGCAAAAAGATAGATTCAAAACTGCTGAATCAAAAGATAGGTTCAACAATGTGACTTCAGTGCACACCTCACACAGATGTTTCTCAGAATGCTTCTATGTAGTTTTCATATGAAGATATCTCCATTTCCAAAATAGAACTCAAAGCCCTCCAAATATTCACTTCCAGGTTATATGGAAAGATTGTCTCAAAACTGCTCAGTCAAAATAAAGGTTCAACTCTGTGAGATGAATGCACACATCACAAAGAAGTTTCTCAGAATACTTCTGTGTAGTTTTTATTTGAGGACAGTTCCTTTTCCACCATAGGCCGCAAAGGGCTCTAAATATCCACTTGCAGATGGTACAAAAAGAGAGATTCAAAACTGCTCAATCAAAAGTTAGTTTCAACCCTGTGATATGAATGCACACATCACAGAGAAGTTTCTCAAAATATTTCTGTCTAGTTTTTATTTGAAGATATTTCCTTTTCAACCATAGGCCATAAAGGTCTCCAAATATCCACATGCAGCTTCTACAAAAAAAGAGATTCAAAACTGCTCAATCAAAAGGTAGTTTCAACCCTGTGATATGAATGCACACATCACAGAGAAGTTTCTCAAAATGCTTCTGTCTAGTTTTTATTTGAAGATATTTCGTTTTCCACCATAGGCCACAAAGGTCTTCAAATATCCACATGCTGCTTCTACAAAAAGAGAGATTAAAAACTGCTCAATCAAAAGATAGGTTCAACTCTGTGAGTTGAGTGCACATCTCACAAAGAAGTTCCTCAGAATGCTTCTGTGTAGTTTTTATTTGAAGATATTTTCTTTTCCACCATGGACCACAAAGGGCTCTTAATACCCACTTGCAGATTATACAAAAAAAGAGATTCAAAACGGCTCAATCAAAAGATAGGCTCTCCCCTGTGAGTTGAATGCACACATCACAAAGAAGTTTCTCAGAATGTTTCTGCATAGTTTTTATTTGAAGATATTTCCTTTTCCACCATAGGCCTCAAAGCTCTCCAAATATCCACTTGCTAATTCTTCAAAAAGATCGCTTCAACACTGCTCTATAAAAAGGAAGTTTCAACTCCATTAGTTGACTGCACAAATCACAAAGAAGTTTCTCAGAATGCCTCTGTGTAGTTTTTATGTGAAGATATTTCCTTTTCCAAAATAGGCATCAAAGGCCTCCAAATATCTACTTGCAGAGTCTTCAAAAAGAGTGTTTCAAAAGTGCTCAATCAAAAGAAAAGTTAAACTCCATGGGATGAATGCATACATCACAAAGAAGGTTCTGAGAATGCTTCTGTCTTGTTTTTATGTGAAGACATTTGATTCTCCACTGTAGGCAACAAGGCGCTCCAAATATCCACTTTCAGATTCTACGAAAAGAGTGTTTTGTAACTGCTCAATCATAAGATAGGTTCAACCTTGTGAGATGAATGCACACAACACAAAGCAGTTTCTCAGAATGTTTTTGTGTAGTTTTTATTTGAAGATATTTCCTTTTCCACCATAGGCCTCAAAGGGCTCCAAACTTCCACTTGCAGATTCTACAAAAAGAGGGATTCCAAACTGCTCAATCAAAAGAAATGTTCAACACTCTGAGATGAAAGCATACATCAAAAAGAAGTTTCTCAGAATGCTTCTGGGCAGCTTTTATGTGAAGATATTTCCTTTTCCACAAAAGGGCATAAAGGGCTCAAAATATCCACTTTCAGATCCTACAAAATGGGAGTTTCAAAACTGCTTCATCAAAAGATAGCTTCAACTCTGTGAGTTGAAGGCACACATCACAAAGAAGTTTCTCAGAATGCTTCTGTGTAGTTTTTATGTGAAGATATTGCCTTTTCCACAATAGGACTCAAAGCGCTCCAAATATCCACTTGCAGATTCTACCAAAAGAGTGTTTCAAAACTGCTCTATCAAGAGACTGCTTCAACACTGTGAGTTGAATGCAAACATCACAAAAAAGTTTCTCAGAATGCTTCTATGTAGTTTTTATGTGAAGATTTTTTTTTCCACCTTAGGCCAAAAATGGCTTCAGATATCTACTTGAAGATTCTACAAAAAGAGAATTTCAAAACTGCTGTATCAAAAGATAGGATCAACACTGTGAATTGAATGCACACATCACAAAAAGTTTCTCAGAATGCTTCTGTGTAGTTTTTATGTGAAGATATTTCCTTTTCCACCATTGGCCACAAACGGCTCCAAATATCCAGTTGCAGATTCTACAAAAAGAGTTTCAAAACTGCTCTATCAAAAGATAGGTTCAACTATGTGAGTTCAATTCACACATCACTAAGAAGTTTTTCAGAACACTTCTGTTTAGTTTTTAGGGGAAGATATTTCTTTTTCCACAATAGGACTCAAACCGCTCCAAATATCCAATTGCAGATTCTACAAAAAGAGTGTCTCAATACCACTCAATCAAAACAAAGGTTCTACCCTGAGAGGAATGGACACAACACAAAGAAGTTTCTCAGAATGCTTCTGTGTAATTTTTATGTGAAGATATTTCCTTTTCCACAAGAGGCCTCAAAGTGCTCCAAATATCCACTTACAGATTGTACAAAAAGAGTTTTTCAAAACTGTTCAATCAAAGGAAAGATGCAACTCTGTGAGATGAATGCACACATTGTAAAGAAGTGTTTCAGAATGTTTCTGTGTAGTTTGTTTGTGACGATATTTCCTTTCCCACCACAGGCCACAAAGGGATCCAAATATCCACCTGCAGATTCTACAAAAAGAGATTTTCAGAACTGCTCATTCTAAGACAGATTCAACTCTGTGATTTGAATGCACACAGCAATAAGAACTTTCTCAGAATGCTTCTGTGTAGTTTTTATGTGCAGATATTTCCTTTTCCACAATACGCCTCCTAGCGCTCCAAATATCCACTTGCAGAGTCTAAAAAAAGAGTGTTTCAAAACTGCTGGATCAAAAGAAAGGTTTAACTCTGTGAGATGAGTGAAAATTCACAAAAAGCTTTCTCAAAATACTTCTGCGTAGTTTTTATGTGAAGATACTTCCTTTTCCACAATAGGCCTCAAAGCGCTCCAAATATACACTTGCAGATACTATAAAAAGTGTGTTTCAAAACTGCTCAATCAAAAGAAATGTTCAAATCTGTAAGATGAATGCACACATCACAGGAAATTTCTCAGAATGCTTTTGTGTAGTTTTTATGTGAATATATTTCCTTTTCTACAACAGGCCTCAAAGTGCTCCAAATATCCACTTGCAGATTCTACAGGAAGAGTGTTTCAAAGCTCCTCAATCAAAAGAAAGCTTCAACTCTATGAATCGATGTCTGATGCACACATCACAAAGAAGGTTCTCAGAATGCTTCTGTGTCGTTTTTATGTGGATATGGTTCCTCTTCCACCTTAGGCCACAAAGGACAACAAATATCCACCTGCAGATTCTACAGAAAGAGAGTTTCAAATCTGCTCATTCAAAAGATGGGATCAACTCTGTGACTTGAATGCACACTTCACAAAGAAATGCCTCTGAATGCTTCTATGTAGTTTTTATGTGAAGATATTTAATTTTCCATAATAGGCCACAAAACACTCCAAATATCCAATTGAATGTTCTACAAAAGATGTGTTTCCAAATTGCTGAATAAAAAGGAAGGTTCACCTCTGTGAGAGGAATGCGCACATCACAAATGAGTTTCTCAGAATGCTTCTGTGTAGTTTTTATGTGAAGATATTTCCTTTTCCACCATAGGACGCAAAGGGCTCCCAATATCCACTTGCAGATTCGACACAGAGTTTCAAAACTGCTCTATCAAAAGATAAGTTCAACTCTGTGAGTTGAATGCACACACCACAAAGAAGTTTCTCAAAATGCTTCTGTAGAGTTTTTATATGAAGATGTTTCCTTTTCCACCATAGGCTTCAAAGTGCTCCAAATATCCACTTGCAGATTCAACAAAAAGAGGGTTTCCAAATTGCTCAATCAAAAGAAAATTTTAACTTGTGAGATGAATGCACACATCACAAAGAAGTTTCTCAGAATGCTTCTGTGAAGTTTTTGTGTGAAGATATTTCCTTTTCCACCATAGGCCTCAAAGCGCTCCAAATATCCACCTGCAGATTCTACAAAAAGAGTGTTTCAAAACTGCTAAATCCAAAGAAAGCTTCAACTCTGTGAGATGAATGCACACATCAGACAGATGTTTCTCAGAATGCTTCTGTGTAGATTTATGTGAAGACATTTCCTTTTCCATAATAGGCCTCAAAGTGCTCCAAATATCCACTTGCAGATTCTGCAAAAAGAGTGTTTCCGAACTGCTCAATGAAAACAAAGTTTCAACTCTGTGAGATGAATGCACACATCACAACAGAGATTCTCAGAATGCTTCTGTGCAGTTGTTAGGTGAAGATATTTCCTTTTCCAACATAGGCCTCAAAGCGCTGCCACTATCCACATGCAGATTCTACAAAAGTGAGTTTCAAAACTGCTCTATCAAAAGATAGGTTCAACTGTAAGAGTTGAATGCACGCATCACAAAGAAGTTTCTCAGAACGCTTCTGTGTAGTTTTTATGTGAAGATGTTTCCTTTTCCACCATAGGCCTCAAAGCTCTCCTAATATCCACTTGCAGATTGTACAAAAAGATTGTTTCAAAACTGCTCATTCAAATGAAAGTTTCAACTCTGTGAGAAGAATGCCCACATCACAAAGAAATTTCTCAGAATGCTTCTGTGTAGTTTTTTTATTTTATTATTATTACACTTTAAATTTTAGGGTACATTTCCCCAAATTGCAGGTTAGTTACATATGTATACATGTGCCATATTGGTGTGCTGCATCCATTAACTCGTCACTTAGCATTAGGTTTATCTCCTGAAGCTATCGCTCACCTCTCCCCCCACCCCACAACAGTCCCCAGAGTGTGATGTTCCTCTTCCCGTGTCCATGTGTTCTCATTGTTCAATTCCCTCCTATAAGTGAGAATATGCGGTGTTTGGTTTTTTATTCTTGCGATAGTTTACTGAGGATGATGATTTCTAATTTCATCCATGTTCCTACAAAGGACATGAACTCATCATTTTTTATGGCCGCATAGTATTCCATGGTGTATATGTGCCACATTTTCTTAATCCAGTCTATCATTGTTGGACATTTGGGTTGGTTCCAAGTCTTTCCTATTGTGAATAGTGCCACAATAAACATGCGTGTGCATGTGTCTTTATAGCAGGATGATTTATAGTCTTTTGGGTATATGTCCAGTAATGGGATGGCTGGGTCAAAAGGTACTTCTTGTTCTAGATCCCTGAGGAATCGCCACACTGACTTCCACAATGGTTGAACTAGTTTACATTCCCACCAACAGTATAAAAGTGTTCCTATTTCTCCACATCCTCTCCAGCACCTGTTGTTTCCTGACATTTTAATGATTGCCATTCTAACTGGTGTGAGATGGTATCTCATTATGGTTTTGATTTGCATTTCTCTGATAGCCAGTGATGGTGAGCATTTTTTTCATGTGTTTTTTGACTGCATGAATGTCTTCTTTTGAGAAGTGTCTGTTCATGTCCTTTGCCCACTTTTTGATAGGGTTGTTTATTTTTTCTTCTAAATTTGTTTGAGTTCATTGTAGATTCTGGATATTATCCCTTTGTCAGATGAGTAAGTTGCCAAAATTTTCTCCATTGTGTAGGTTGCCTGTTCACTCTGCTGGTAGTTTATTTTGCTGTGCAGAAGCTCTTTAGTTTAATTATATCCCATTTGTCAATTTTGGCTTTTGTTGCCATTGCTTTTGATGTTTTAGACATGAAGTCTTTGGCCATGCATATGTCCAGAATGGTAATGCCTACGTTTTCTTCTATGGTTTTTATGGTTTTATGTCTAATGTTTAAATCTTTAATCCATCTTGAATTTATTTTTGTATAAGGTGTAAGGAAGAGGTCCAGTTTCAGCTTTCTACATATGGCTAGCCAGTTTTCCCAGCACCATTAGTTGAATAGGGAATCCTGTCCCTATTTCTTGTTTTTCTCAGGTTTGTCAAAGAGCAGATAGTTATAGATATGTGGCATTATTTCTGAGGGCCCTATTCTGTTCCATTGATCTATACCTCTGTTTTGGTATCAGTACCATGCTTCTGTGTAGTTTTTATGTGAAGATATTACCTTTTCCACCTTAGGCTGCAAATGGCTCCAAATATCCACATGCAGATGCTACAAAAAGAGAGTTTCAAAACTGCTGTATCAAAAGATAGGTTCAATTTGACAGTTGAATGCACACATCAAAAAGATGTTTCTCAGAATTCTTCTGTGAAATTTTTATGTGAAGATAGTTCATTTTCCAACATAGGCCTCAAAGTGCTTCAAATATCCACTTGCAGCTTCTACAAAAAGAGTGTGTCAAAACTGTGCAATCAAATGAAAGGTTCAATTCTGTGAGATGAATGCACACATCACAAAGACGTTTCTCAGAATACTTCTGTGTTGTTTTTATGTGAAGATATTTCCTTTCCACGATAGGCCACAAAGGGACCAAAATATCCACTTGCATATTCTACAAAAAGAGAGTTTCAAAACTACTCTATCAAAAGATAGGTTCACCTCTGTGAGTTGAATACGCACATCACAAAGTACTTTCTCAGAATGCTTCTGTGTAGTTTTTATGTGAAGATATTTCCTTTTCTACCTTAGGCCAAAAAGCGCTCAAAATATCCATTTTCATACATTACAAAAAGAATGTTTCAAAACTGCTAAATCAAAAGAAATGTTCAAATCTGTGAGATGAATGCACACATCACAAAAAATTTCTCACAATGTTTCTGTGTGATTTTTTTGTGGAGATAATTCCTTTTCCATAATAGTCCTCAAAGCACTCCAAATATCCACCCGCAGGTTCTACAGAAAGACTGTTTCAAAACTGCTCAATCAAAAGAGAGGTTCAACTACGTGATATGAATGCAAACATCACAAAGAAGTTTCTCAGAGTTCTTCTCTATAGTTTTTATGTGAAAATATTTCCTTTTCCACAATAGGCCTCAAAGCACTTCAAATATCCACTTGCAGATGCCTTACAAAGAGTGTTTCAAAACTGCTGTCTCAAAACATAGGTTCAACATTTTGAGTTGAATGTTCACATGACAAAGAAGTTTCTCAGAATGCTTCTGTGTAGTTTTAATTGGAAGACATTTCCTTTTGCCCAAAAGGCTGCAAAGGGCTCCAAATACCCACTTGCAGATTCTACAAAAAGAGAGTTTCAAAACTGCTCTATCAAAAGATAGGTTCAACTCTGTGAGATGAATGCAAACATCAAGAAGAAGTTTCTCAGAATGCTTCTGTCTAGTTTTTATGTTAAGATATTTCCTTTTCCGCCATAGGCTGCAAAGGAATCCAAATATCCACTTGCAGATTCTACAAAAAGAGTTTCAAAACTGCTCTATTAAAAGATATGTTCAACTCTGTGAGTTGAATGCACACATCACAAAGAAGTTTCTCAGAATGCTTCTGTGTAGTTTTTATGTGAAGACATTTCCTTTTCCACAATAGGCTGCAAAGTGCTCCAAATATCGACTTGCAGTTTCCACAAAAATAAAGTTTCAAAACTGCTCTATCAAAAGACAGGTTCAACTCTGTGAGTTGAATGCAAACATCACAAAGAAGTTTCTCCGAATGCTTCTGTCTAGTTTTTATGTTAAGATATTTCCTTTTCCACCATAGGCCACAAAGGAATCCAAATATCCACTTGCAAATTGTACAAAAAGAGAGTTTCAAAACTGCTCAATCAAAAGATAGGTTCATTTCTGAATGTTGAATGCACACATCATAAAGAACTTTCTTATAATGCTTCTGTGTATTTTTTATGGGTAGATATTACCTTTTCCACCATAGTCCTCAAAGTGCTCCAAATATCCACTTGCAGATTCTACAGAAAGAGTGTTTCAAAACTGATCAATCAAAAGAAAGGTTCAACTTTGTTAGATGAATGCACACAAAACAAAGAAGTTTCTGGGAATGCTTCTGTGTAGTTTTTACTTAAGGACATAGCCTTTTCCACAATAAGCCTCAAAGCAATCAAAATATCCACTTGCAGATTCTACAAAAAAAGTGTTTCAAAAATGCTCAATCAAAGGAAAGATTCATCTCTGTGAGGTGAATGCACATATCACAAAGAAGTTTCTCAGAATCCTTCTCTGTAGTTTTCATGTTAAGATATATTCTTTTCCACTATAGGCCACAAAGGGCTCCAAATATCCACTTGCAGATTCTACAAAAAGAGTGTTTCAAAACTACTCTATCAAAAGATAGGTTCAACTCTGTGAGATGAATGCACACATCACAAAGTAGTTTCTCAGAATGCTTCTGTGTAGTTTTTATGTGAAGATATTACCTTTTACACCATTGGCCAAAAAAGGCTCAAAATAACCACTTGCAGATTCTCCAAAAAGAGAGTTTCAAGACTGCTCTATCAAAAGATAGGTTCATTTCTGCGAGTTGAATGCATACATCACAAATTGATTTCTCAGAATGCTTCTGTGTGGTTTTTAATTGAAGATATTTCCTTTTCCACCATAGACCTCAAAATGCTCCAAGTATCCACTTGCAGATTCTATGAAAAGAGTGTTTCAAAACTGCTCAATCAAAAGAAAGTTTCAACCCTTTGAGATGAAGGCACACATTGCAAAGAAGTTTCTGAGAATGCTTCTGTGTAGTTTTTTGGGAAGATATTTCCTTTTCCACGATAGGCCTCAATGTGATGCAAATATCCACCTGCAGATTCTACAAAAAGAGTGTTTCAAAACTACTCTATCAAAAGAAAATTTCAACTCCGTGAGATGAATGTACACATCACAAAAATGTTTCTCAGAATGCTTATGTGTAGTTTTTATGAGAAGATATTTCTTTTCAGCTATGGACCTGAAAGCGCTTCAAATATCCATTTGCAGATAATGTGTAAAGAGAGTTTCAAGACTGCTCTATGAAAAGATATGTTCAACTCTGTGAGTTGAATGCATACTTCACAAAAATTTTCTCAGAAAGCTTCAGTGTAGTTTTTATGTGAAGATATTTCCTTTTCCAACATAGGACTCAAAGTGCTCCAAATATCCACTTGCAGATTATACAAAAAGAGTGTTTCAACGCTGCTCAATCAATTGAAAGTTTCAAATATGTGAGACGAATGCACACATCCCAAAGAAGTTTCTCAGAATGCTTTTGTGTAGCTTTATGTGAAGATATTTCCTTTTGAACAATAGGCCTCAAAACATTCATATATCCACTTGCCGATACTTTAAGAAGAGTGTTTCTAAACTGCTCAATCAAAAGAGAGGTTCAACTTCGTGAGCTGAATCCACACATCAAAAAGAAATTTCTCAGAAAGCTTTTGTATAGTTCTTATGTGAAGATATTTCCTTTTCCACCATAAGCCACAAAGGGCTCCATATATCCAATTGCAGATTCTACAAAAAGAGAGTTTCAAAACCGCTCTGTCAGAAGATAGGTTCAAGTCTGTCAGTTGAATGCACACATCACAAAGGAGTTTCTCAGAATGCTTCTGTGTAGTTTTTATGAGAAGATATTTCCTTTTCCATCATAGGCCTCAAAGTGTTCAAATTATCCACTTGCAGATTCTACAAAAGAATGGCAATCATTAAAAAGTCAGGAAACAAGAGGTGCTGGAGAGGATGTGGAGAAATAGGAACACTTTTACACTGTTGGTGGGACTGTAAACTAGTTCAACCATTGTGGAAGTCAGTGTGGCGATTCCTCAGTGATCTAAAACTAGAAATACCATTTGACCCAGTCATCCCATTACTGGGTATATACCCAAAGGAATATAAATCATGCTGCTATAAAGACACATGCACACGTATGTTTATTGTGGCATTATTCACAATAGCAAAGACTTGGAGCCAACCCAAACGTCCAACAATGATAGACTGGATTAAGAAAATGTGGCACATATACACCATGGAATACTATGCAGCCATAAAAAATAATGAGTTCATGTCCTTTGTAGGGACATGGATGAAATTGGAAATCATCATTCTCAGTAAACTATCGCAAGAACAAAAAACCAAACACCGCATATTCTCACTCATAGGTGGGAATTGAACAGTGAGATCACATGAACACAGGAAGGGGAATATCACACTCTGGGGACTGTTGTGGGGTGGGGGGAGGGGTGAGGGATAGCATTGGGAGATATACCTAATGCTAGATGACGAGTTAGTAGGTGCAGCGCACCAGAATGGCACATGTATACATATGTGACAAACCTGAACAATGAGCACATGTACCCTAAAACTTAAAGTATAATAAAAAAAGAAAGTTTCAAAACTGCTTATCACAAGATAGGTTCAACTCTGTGAGATGAATGCACACATTACGAAGAAGTTTCTCATAATGTTTCTGTGTAGTTTTTATGAGAAGATATTTACTTTTCCATCATAGGCCTCAAAGCACTCCAATTATCCACTTGCAGATTCTACAAAAAGAGAGTTTCAAAATGCTCAATCAAAAGAAAGGTTGAACTCTGTGAGATGAATGTTCACATCAAAAAGAAGTTTCTCAGAATGCTTCTGTGTAGTTGTTATGTGAAGATATTTCCTTTTCCACAATATGGCTCTGAGGGCTCCAAATATCCAGCTGCAGATTCTACTAAAACAGTGTTTCCAAACTGCTAAATCAAAAGAAAGGTTCAACACTGTGAGATGAATGCACACATCACAAAGACGTTTCTGAGAAGGCTTCTATGTAGTTTTTATATGAAGATATTTCCTTTTCCACAATAGGTCTCAAAGTGCTCCAAATATCCAATTGCAGATTTTACAAAAAGAGTGTTTCAGAACTGCTCAATCAAATGAAAAGTTCAGCTCTGTGAGATGAATGCACACATAACAAAGAAGTTTCTCAGAATGCTTCTCTGTAATTTTTAGGGAAAGATATTTCCTTTTCCACCATCGGCCACAAATGTCTCAAAATAACCACATGCAGATTCTATAAAAAGAGAGTTTCCAAACTGCTCTATCAAAAGATAGGTTCAACTCTGCGAGTTGAATGCAAACATCACAAAGAAGTTTCACAGAATGCTTCTGGGTAGTTTCTATGTGAAGATATGTCCTTTTCCTCCATAGGCCTCAAAACGCTCTATAATATCCATTTGCAGATTCTACGAAAACAGTGTTTCAAAACTACTCAATCAAAAGAAAGCTTCAACTCTGTGAATTCAATGCACACATCACAAAGAAGGTTCCTGGAATGCTTCTCTGCAGCTTTTAAGAGAATGTATTTCCTTTTCCACAGCAGGCAACAAAGGACTCCAAATATCCACTTGCAGATTGCACAAAAAGAGAATTTCAACACTGCTCTATCAAAAACAGGTTCAACTCTGTGATATGAATGCACACATCACAAAGTATTTTCTCAGAATGCTTCTGTGTAGTTTTTATGTGAAGATATTTCCTTTTCCACCATAGGCCTCAAAGTGCTCCAAATATCCACGTGCAGATTATACAAAAAGAGTGTTTCAAAACTGCTCAATGAAAAGAAATTTCAACTCTGTGAGATGACTGCACTCAAAACAAAGAACTTTCTGAGAAAGCTTCTGTGTAGCTTTTATGTGAAAGTATTCCCTTTTCCACAATAGGCCTCAACGCACTCCAAATATCCAATTGCAGATTCAACAAAAAGAGTGTTTCAAAACTGCTCAATCAACTGAAAGATTCAACTCTGTGAGTTGAATGCACACATCACAAAGAAGTTTCTCAGAATGCTTCTGTGTAGTTTTTATGTGAAGATATTTCCTATCCTACAATAGGCCACAAAGGGCTCCAAACATCCACTTGCAGATTCTACGAAAAGAGAGTTTCAAAACTGCTCTATGAAAAGATAGGTTCAACTCTGTGAGCTGAATGCACACATCAGACAGAAGTTTCTCAGGATGCTTCTGTGTAATGTTTATGAGAAGATATTTCCTTTTCTACAATAGGCAGCAAAGGGCTACAAATATCCTCTTGCAGATTCTACAAAAAGAGTTTCAAAACTGCTATATAAAAAGATAGGTTCAACACTATGAGATGAATGCACACATCACAAAGAAGTTTCTCAGAATGTTTCTGCATAGTGTTTATATGAAGATATTTCCTTTTCCACTATAGACCTCAAAGCGCTCAAAATATCCACTTGCAGATTCTACAAAAAGAGTGTTTCAAAACGGCTCTATGAAATGAAAGTTTCAACTCTGTGAGATGAATGCACACATCACAAAGAAGTTTCTCAGAATGCTTCTGTGTAGTTTTTATGTGAAGATGTTTCATTTTCCACCATAGGCCTCAATGCGCTCCAAATTTCCACTTGCAGATTCTTCATAAAGAGTGTTTCATAACTCTTCAATCAAAAGAAAGTTTCAACTCTGTGGGATGAATGAGCACATCACAAAGAAGTTTCTCACAATGCTTCTGTGCAGTTCTTATGTGAAGATATTTCCCTTCCCAACATAGGCCGCAAAGGTCTCTAAATATCCCCTTGCAGATTCTACAAAACGAGAGTTTCAAAACTGCTCTATCAAAATATATATTCAACTCTGTGAGATGAATGCACACCTCAGAAACAAGTTTCTCAGAATGCTTCTCTGTAGTTTTTACTTGAAGATATCTCCTTTTCCACCATAGGCCTCAACGTGCTCAAATACCACTTGCAGATTCTACAAAAAGAGTGTTTCAAAACTGCTCAGTCTAAAGAAAGGATCAACCCTGTGACACAAATGCACACAAAACAAAGAAGTGTCTCAGAATCCTTCTGTGTAGTTTGTATGTGAAGATGTTACCTTTTCCACATTAGGCGACAAAACACTCCAAATTTCCAATTGCAGATTCTACAAAAAGAGTGTTTCAAAACTACTCAATCAAATGAAAGGTTCAACTCTGTGAGCTGAATGTATACATCACAAGGAAGTTTCTCACAATGTTTCTGTAGTTTTTAGAGGAAGATATTTCTTTTTCCACCATTGGCCACAATGGGCTCCAAATAATCACACACAGATTCTACAAAAAGACTGTTTCAAAACTGCTATATCAAAAGATCGGGACAATGCTGCGAGTTGAATGCACACATCACAAAGAAATTTCTCGGAATCCTTCTGTGTAGTTTTTATGTGAAGATATATCCCTTTCCACCATAGGCCTCAAAGCGCTCCATATATCCACTTGCAGATTCTGTGAAAAAAGTGTCTCAAATCTGTTCAAACAATACAAAATTTAACACTGTGAGATGAATGCACACATTACAAAGAATTTTCTCAGAATACTTCTGTGTAGTTTTTAGGGGAACATATTTCCTTTTCCTCCATTGGCCACAAAGGGCTCCAAACAACCACATGCAGATTTTACAAAAAGAAAGTTCCAAAACTGCTCAATCAAAAGAAAGATTCAACTCTGTGAGATGAATACACACATCACAA